>NC_000023.11:146293787-146596818 GCF_000001405.40 Homo sapiens | reverse complement strand
AAAGAAGAATACCATTTCTACTCAAAGTCTTCCAAAAAAATAGAGGAGGAGGGAATACATCCCAACTCATTCTATGAGGCCAGTATTACCCTGATACCAAAACCAGACAAAGACACATCAAAAAAGGAAAACTACATGCCAATATCTGGGCAATACTGATGTAAAAAATTTCAATAAAATGCTAGTAAACCAACTAAAAAATCTGAATATAAGGAAAAAAATACTAGCAAACCGAATTCAACAATATATTAAAACAATCATTCATTATAAGCAAGTGGAATTAATCCCTGGGATGCAAGGATGGTTCAACATGCAAATTAATCAATGCAATACATCATATAAACAAAATGAAGAACAAAAACCACACAATAATTGCAATTCATACTGAAAATGCATTTGATAAAATTCAACATTTCTTCATGGTAAAAACCCTCAAAGAACTGGGTATAGAGGGAACATATCTCAACATTGTAAAAGCCATATACAACAGACCCACAGCTAGTATCATACTGAATGGGGAAAAGCTGAATGCCTTTTCTCTAAGATCTAGAATGTGACAAGGATGCCCACTTTTACCTTTGATATTCTACATAGTACTGGAAGTCTTAGCTAAAGCAATCAGAAAAGAGAGAGAAATAATATCATCCAAACAGGAAAGGAAGAAGCCAAATAATTCTGTTTGTAGATGATACAATTTTATATTCGTCAAATCCTAAAGACTTTACTAAAAATCCATCAGTACTGACAAATTCAGTAAAGTTGCAGGATACGAAATCAACATACAAAAATCAATAGCATTTCTATATGCCAACAGTGAACAATCAGAAAAAGAATTTAAAAGGCAATACCATTTAACATAGCCCCAAATAAAATTAAATACCTAGAAATTAACTTAAATAAGTGAAATATCTCTATAATGAAAACTACAGAACAAAGATGAGAGAAATTGAAGAGGATGCCAAAAAATAAAATTATATTTCATGTTCATCAACTGGAAGAATAAATATTGTTAAAATGTCCATGCTACCCAGAGTAATCTACATATTCAATGCATTCCCTATCAAAATACCAATGACATTCTTCACAGAAATAAAAAAAAAATTAAAATTTATGTGGAACTACAAAAGGCCCAGAATAGCCAAAGCTATCTTAAGCAAAAAGAACAAACCCAGAGGAATCGTGTTACCTGACTTCAAATTAAACTACGGAGCTAAGGTCATCAAAAGAGCATGGTACTGACAAAAACTAACAAACAAACAAAAAATCCAGACACATAGACCAGTGGAAAAGAATAGAAAACCCAGAAACAAACCCAATTCCACACACCTAATGTGAACTCATTTTCAACAGAGATCCCAAGAATATACACTAGGGAAAGGACAGTCTCTTCAATAAATGGTGCTGAGAAGACTGGGTATCTATATGCACAAGAATGAAACTAGACCCCTATCTCTTACCCTGCTCAAAAATCAAATCAAAATAAATTGAAGACTTAAGTCTGAGAACTCAAATTATGAAACTACTACAAGAAAACAATGTGGAAACCCTCCAGGACATTGGTCTGGGCAAAAATTTCTTGAGCAATACCCCACAAGCACAGGAAACCAAAGCAAATATGGATAGATGTGATCACATCAAGTTAAAAAGCTTCTGCACAGCAAAGAAAACAATAAACGAAGGGAAGAAACAACCCACAGAGTAGAAGAAAATATTTGCAAAGTACCCATTTGAGAAGGGATTAATAACCAGAATATATAAAGAACTCAAACAACTCTATAGGAAAAAAATTTAATAATCCAATCAAAAAATGGGCAAAAGATTTGAGAAGACATTTCTCAAGAGAAAACATAGCAATGGCAAATAGGCATGTGAAAAGGTGCTCAACATCACTGATCATCAGAGCCATGCAAATCAAAACTAAAATGAGATATCATTTCAACTCATTTATAATGGCTTATATCCAAAAGACAGACAGGCAATCACCAATGCTGGCTAGGATGTGGAGAAAAGGAAACACTCATACACTGTTGGTGGGAATATAAATTAGTACAACCACTATGGAGATCAGTTTTGAGTCTTCTCCAAAAATTAAAAATAAAGCTACCATATGATCCAGCAATGCCACTGCTAGGTATACCATAAAAGAAAGGAAATTCATATATAGAAGATATCTGCACTCCCATGTTTGTTGCAGCACTGGCCACAATACCCCCCAGTATTTGGTAACCACCTAGGTGTTCATCCACGGATAAATGGATTAAGAAAATGTGATATATATACACCATGGAGTACTATTTATCCTTGAAAAAGAGTGAGATACTGTCATTTGCAACAACGTGAATAGAATCAGAGGCCGTTATGCTAAGTGCATAATCCAGGCACAGAAAGACAAATATTGCATGCTCTTACTTATTTGTGGGATTTTAAAATTAAAATAATTGAATTCATACAGGTAGAATAGAAGGATGGTTCCCAGAAGTTGGGAGGGGTAGTGGGTAGTATGGGGGAGGTGGGAGTGGTTAATGGGTACAAAAAAATAATTAGAAAGAATGAATAAGACCTAGTATTTGATAGCACATCACAGTGACTATAGTCAATAATTTAATTATACATTTTTAAATATCTAAAATAGAATAATTGAATTGTTTGTAACATAAAGGATACATGCTTGAAGGGATGGAGATCCCATTCTACATGATGCGATTATTACACATTGGATGCCTGTATCAAAATAACTCATGTATCCCATAAATATATACACCTATTATGTACCCACAAAAATTAGAAAGAAAAAAATCATAGACGAATAAACTATATTGAACTGGAAGCTATCAATGATTCAGTTACCAAGAATATGTAACAAAAGAAAAAAAGAAATGTAAACTAAGAGATTAAGAGATGTGGGGGAAAGTATCAGACAATAAACATATTTCTCATCAAATCCCAGAAATAGAGAATAGGAATAATAATTGGCTTTTTCTTCCACAATTGATGAAATAAAGAATTATTAGGAAGGAGCACACTCTTTAATCTCAGCAGGAAAAGTCAAATAAAATCCACATGCAACACGATACAGGATATTGAAAACAAATGGAAAACCTGAAAAGCAACTGTAAAAAATTCAGTTTATCTAAAAAAGAAATGACAAACTGGTAACAGCTATCTCAATAGTACTAACAACGTCAGAGAATAGTTATTGAGAATAGAAAATAAACCCTCAAAATAGTGTAGGGGAAATAACTAGCTTCCTAAAATTCTATACTCAGCTAGGTATTATTAAAGAATAAAATTGAAAAAAAAATGTTTTCAGGAAAATGCACACATGCGCACACACACACACACACACACACATCTTTCTTGTTAATAATATTACTTAGAATTATAAAGTGTTCTTCTTTGTCTCATGTAATGTTTCAAAGGCTTGAATTACATTGAGTTGAATATTCAGATTTTGAGACCGATTTTTTTGTTTCTATTTACCTAGGATGTATCTGCCAATCATTTTAATTTTAACCTAAAAAATCACATTATTTTAAAATGTCTCTTGTGTACACTGTAGACTTGAATTGTTTCATGATCTAATTAAAATTATTTTTCTCTTAACCAATGGATTCAGCCCAATTAAATTTTATGATGACAGAAAGATTTTGTATTTGTTCTGTCATTTCTGTGTGTCTTTTATTACATAACCTGTTTTCTTAGTTTTGTTTTTAGTCGTAGACAACCAAAAGTTAGAAAGTTACATGTTTTTATTTTAAGGTTTATCTTTATAATTAAACTTTCATATAATACCTTTACTACCCCATGTTATTAAGAGAGAAAAGTCCATATTATTAAAATGTCACTCTTTAGAGGATTATTAATTTATTAACTTAACATGATATCAACAAAACTACACACAGAGTTTTGTTTTGTACTAGACAAGCTGATTCTATTATTCATATAAAAAATAAGATAACAAAAATATACAGTAAAATTCTGAAAACAAAAAACAATGGGAAGAAATTAATCCTACCAAATATTATTATGAAGCCTCAGTAATGAAAAAAATATATGGAGCATATGAACAGGAGAATGCCATGGCAGTTCTAGAAATAAACTTACATATCTGTTTCTGAAATAGATATCAATTTGGGAGAAAACTTTGTAGTAAATGACTTTGAAACAACTGTACAGCCATATGAATGGGAAAAATCAAGTTGAATTTACTCATGCAAAATACCATCACTCCACATGTGACAAATATTTTTTTAAAATGAAATTATAAAAGTAATAAAAGAAAAAATAGACAAATTTCTTTATAACCTTAGAATTGGAAATAAACTTCTCTAATGGCTCTGAATCTGGAAACCATAAAAGAAAAATTGATGTAGACTATGAGAAAAACACCCGTTAATTTCTATATTACAAAAATTTAGCAAGGTCAAAATGATAATGACATATTTAGAAATAATTTGAAACTCATATTATTACAAAGTTCTGATCTCCCTAAAATAGTATTAAAGAGATCAGTAATCCAATAATGATGAGCAAAAAAAATATGAATAGCTTACAAAAAAAGATTGCAAATTGCCATCAAACATATAAAAATGGCCAATGTCACTAAATAAATAGAGATTACAGTTTTGATTAGATAGCATTTTTTACCTATCAGATTGGCAAATAATCTAAAAGTTTGATAACTCGTCGTTGGCAAGTCTGGGGGAAACACACATTCCCATACATTGCTGATGAAAGTGTAATGTAAAATCCCACTGAAGGGAAATTTGTGAATATCTATTAAAATTACAAATACATTTATGCACTGATGAAGCAATCCTTCCTCTTGGAATTTATTCTACAAGTATACATGCATGAGTTAAACATCAGAGAAGTATAAATTAATTCACTGTTGCATTATTTACAACGCATAAAATGAGAAAGAATTCAACTGTCTGTTCACAGTGAATCAATAAATAAACTGTGTTACAATCATATAATGGAGTACTATTTAGCAACTTAAAAAAATGAATGAGAAACCTCTCTATATACTTATTTGAAAAGATCATCAGGATACAATGTGAAGTTTAAAAAGAATAAGCAATGTTCAGTAGTACAGTATGTAGAGTGTATGCTACCTTTCTCATATAGAAAAGAAAAAAAAACAAATATTTATGTTTGATTGATTTTGCCTAAAAAATTCTAAAAGGATAAACAAGAAACAGAAAATTGTCACTATCTGCATGTGTAGGAGAAAAATGAGACTTTTCATTGAATTGTTTTTGGTATTGTTTTAATTTTTTAACCATATAAATACTTATTTAAAAGCAAAACTTTTGAAAAATGAATGTAAAAATTAAAAACATACAAGAAAAATAGAGAAGAGGCAACCCATTTTGTTAAAGTTGGACAGCATACCCAATGGGAATTGCACATTTAAGTCATCAGCAGTACAAGAAGCCAAGATGGAAGCTTATTTGGGCCACAGAATTCCAGAATAGTTCAGAATTGAATGTAAGAGTAAATGGGTGGAGCTGAAAACTAGATTATCTAAATATTGGTAAAAGAAGTAGGTCTACACACCTATCCCACAACGAATAGGTGTCTAAACCTCTGTCAACCTGGCAGGGAAATATACTATTTGAAGATGTTAAAGCAAAATATTCTGGCTTCCTAGGCACCAGACACAACTGATCCTATGGGCATTGTACCAAAATGGAAGAGAGAAAAAATGGAGAGTTGATAGGAAGAAGAAAGAAGGAAAGAAAAAGGTCAAAAAACGGGAGAAGGAAAACGAACATTCACTGAGTAATTAATGCATGTCAGAGGCTATAAGCAATTTAACTGTGTCAATTTATTTCATCCTCACCACTACTCTATGTCACATATGAAAAACCTGTGACACAGTAAGGTTAAGATATTTGACCAAGAATGCAAATCTATTAAGTGACAAAGCATGGAATTGGCTAGACAGGCTGCTTCCAAGATTATACCTTTAACACTACACATATTAAAAGGTGAAAATAAAAGACCACTTCCCGTCTCAGTTTCTAGAAAACTCACAGCTGAACATATATGCCCCTATCCTGCCTACCCGCTACCTCTGCCACTGGTATGACTGCTAGCACTCCGCTGGAGAGCCTAACGAGCCCAAAAGTAATCTATAGATTCTAACAGTTTTGTGTATTGCAATGAACCACCCTCAACTCATTTTATGAGGAAGGAACAAACCTGGTACCAAAAACAAACAAGCACCATATGAGAAATATGCTGTAAATATAAGTGATATAAGTACATATAAGTAAATCTCTATTACAAATATAGACCTAAAACCCTAAATGCAATATTAGTGAAGTGATTCCCACAATGTATAAATAATACTATATCATGATCAAATAAGGTTTGACTCTAGGAATGCAAAGATAACAATAGAACATATATTAATATAATTCAACACATTACCAATTTAAAGAAGAAAAATGAACTTTAAGTTGCATAAATAGATAGGTTCTGGATTTTAAAAAATGAATAACCAAATGAGAATGGAAAGAAAACGATATCCTGAATATGATCAACTGTTTCTACCAAATATTGACAGTAAATATCATACTTAATTGTGAAACTGTAGGAACATTTTCCTCTAAATACAAGAGAAGTAAGAGCAAGAGAAGTAGGTCCAATATTACCACTCTTAACCTAAGACTAGAGATTTAAGATCTATTAAGACAAAACATATTAGAATCAGAGAGGAAGAAGCATAGCTACCATCATTCACAGGTAAGTTTTTCTAAATAGAAAACTCAAGAGAATCTACATAAAAACGCTTTGTATTAAATGATAAAAAGATAGATTCACAAATTTTCTAAGTAATAGGTTATTTAACTCATTCATTGAGGAAATATTTATTGAACACAAATTATCTTTCAGGCATTGTTCTAGACGTTGGAAGCCCAGCAGTAAAGAAAATGGACAAAAGTCCGTTCCATCCTGAAACCTGCATTCCAGGAACTAGACAGGAACAAATAGTACTTCTATATATCAGTAAAAGGAAATAAAGATAGATAGATAGATAGATAGATAATGTGTGTACAAATATATTTCAAATATACCACTACATTAACAGCAATACAATGAGATACCTAGGAATTCATATTTTAAAATAAAAGATCAAGTCCCTTATGGAGAAAATTAGTTTACTGAAAAACATGAGAAGACATGAATAAGTAAAATACTCATGTTCTAGCATGAAAAGGCTAAATGTTATATACATGCCAATTCTCCTTACATTAAACCCTATATTCAATCTCTAAATCCCAGTCAAAAACCCATCAGGTTTTCTCACAGACTGAAAAGCCGATCCAATCTTTCACGTGGAAGAGTAGGGTGGACTATTCATGGCATCACTCACAAGTATTCTCAGTCATATCTGCTCCCTTGTCAGCTTTCTCAGTATAGATTAGAAAATCTGTCCTAGTCCATTTATACTGCTATAACAAATACCCAAGACTGGGTAATTCATAAGCAACAAATTTATTTCTCGCAATTCTGGAGAGTGAAAGTCCAAGATTAAGGCAACAGTAGGATTGATGACTGGTGAGGGCCCCATCTTTGCTTCCAAGATGGCCCCCACGTTGCTGCATCATTCAAAGGAGATAAATGCTGTGTCCTCACATGGCAGAAAGGATGAAAGAACAAAAGGAACTAATTAGTTCCCCCCAGACCTTTTATAGGGTTACTAATTGCATTCATGAAGACAAAGCCCTTGTGACTTAATTACGTGTGTGTGTGTGTGTTTGTGTGTGTGTGTGTGTGTGTGTTTGCATGTCTTATTTCTTTTATTTTTAACTTTTAAGTTTAGGGGAATGTGTGCAGGGTGTGCAGGTTTGTTACATAGGTAAACCTGTTTCATGGGGTTTGTTGTACAGATTATTTCATCACCCAGGTATTAAGCCTCGCATCCATTAGTTATTTCTCCTGATCCTCTCCCTCTCAAAGACCCCACCTTTAAATACTACCACACAGGGGATTGAAGTTTCAACACGAATTTTGGAGGAGACACAAACATTCAAACCATAACACACACCTCTTCCTCGACTCTTTTGTTGCAAGATTTAAATATGAGATCCTGTTTTGCCCAGGGATACATAAAAATCTGCCGGGGGCTTCTCATAAGGCCTTTGATTTCCTAATAAGACACTGGGTAGGGGCCACACATTCCCCCTACAATGCCTTCAAAGGGAACATGTTACTTGGAGGTGTGGCAGACAACTTCCACTATTGAGGCAAAGACCAAGGGAATTAAACGGGCCCCAGTCCTGACATTACTGCGATGCTGAAACAACGCAGGCAGCTATCTACATGCAGAATAAGCAGAATTCTTTTTATGTGTGAAAGGTGTGCTTAAATCTTATACATTTGAGTCTTTGGATACCTGCAGTTGAAATCTTTTGCAATTCATTCAAATAGTAAAGGCCAAAAATAGTCTAGACAACTTCAAATGAGGAAATGGGATGCTTTTCCAACTGAAATTCGGACTTATTAGAAAGCTACAGTATTTATACAATGAGATACTCATTCAAAAATAAGGAAAAAGAGATAAACGGTAGGAAACGGTGCATACAGAAATAGTTTTACATATATACTTGGAAATTTGTATGTTATTATATCCTTCAAATCAATAGTAAAAGCAAGGGTCATTCGATAATGGGTTTTTGATAATTGGCTATCCATATTTGAGAAGCAGACATGAGTTGAGTCACTATTCCATATTGTATAGGAAGATAAATTCTGAATGAATTAAAGACCAATATGAAAAAAACCTGTGGAACTTGTGAACCCCAAAAATCTGAGACAGGTCTCAGTCAATTTAGGAAGTTTATTTTGCCAAATTTAAAGATGCACGCCCATAGCACAGCCTCCGGAGGTCCTGATGACACATGCCCAAGGTGGTCAGGGCACAGCTTGGTTTTATACATTTTAGGGAGACATGAGACATCAATCAACATATGTAAGCTGAACATTGGTTCGGTCTAGAAAAGCAGGACTACTCAAGCAGGGAGGGCCTTCCAGGTTATAGGTAGATAAGAGACAAATGGTTGCATTCTTTTGAGTTTCTGATTAGCTTCTCCAAAGGAGGCAATCAGATATGCATTTATCTCAGGGAGCAGAAGGATGACTTTGGATACAATGGGAGGCAGGGTTGCCCTACAGTTCCCAGCCTGACTTTTCCCTTTATCTTGGTGATTTGGAGACCCAAAGATTTATTTTCATTTCACAAACTCTTAGATTAAAATATAGGATAGTATCTTCATCTTTATTGCCTTACAGTACAGAAGAATTTTTTAAACAAGACACTAAGAACACAAATCATAAAAAGAAAATTAATAAATTATACTACATTAAAATATGAGATTTGTTCATGCTAAAAATGTCATCACAAAATAACAAACCACAGATCAAGAGATTATATTTGCAAATGATTAAAACAACTATTAGAAAAGTAACAGAAAAATTCAGAATAGCCATTAAAAATGAAAACATTTTCAAAGCCTTACTATTCAGAAAAATACAATTGAAACAATACTAAGATACAATTTCACACCCATCAAGTTGGCAAAAATTAAAGGGTCTCCCAACAACAATTGACAGAAATGTGAGGAAATGAAAACTCACATTTTAATAAGGCTGTATATTGATACAGTAACTGTAGAGAACAGTTTGCTGAAACCTAGTTATACTTGCAGAAGCATATGCCCTCCTTTCAGCAATTATATTCTTGGATATATGTCACAGAGAAAGTCTTGAGTTTACATTTAAGACATACTTAAGGATTTCATTCCACGTCTACTATAATATCCAAAAATAGGGAGCAATCTAAAATGTCCGTCAATAGAGAAATGGAAAATTAACTGTGATATAGGTATATGTGACAATAAAAATGAATGAACTAGGTTTACTTGAATTAACATCAATAACTCTTAAAATAATAATGTTGAAGGAGTTTACAAAATTATCTACAAAGACTAATGTAGTTTTTATTAATACTAGCCTTAAGTTTTTATTAGGCTGTATTAGTCTGTTCTTGCACTACTATAAAGAAATTCCTGAGGCTGGGTAATTTATTTAAAAAAAGAAGCTTAATTGGCTCAAAGTTACACAGGCTGTACAGGAAGCATGGCTGGGGAAGCCTCAGAAAACTTATAATTATGACGGAAGGCAAAGGGGAAGCAGGCACGCCCTACATGGGGAGAGCAGGGGGAAAAGAGAGAGGGGGAAGGGCCACACACTTTTAAACAGCCAGATCTTGGGATAACTCCCTCACTATCAGGAGAACAACACTAAAGGGGAAATCTGATCCCATGATCTAATCACTTCCACTAGGCCCCACCTCCAAATTTTACAGGACATTTGGGTGGGGACACAGACCCAAACCATATCATAGACTTATTAGCTTTTTTTTTCCAGCTCATGTATGTTTTTGAATCACACACAACAATACCATATATCGTATATAAACACAAATAAATATGGAGTAAAATTACAAAAATTGACATTGCAACAATATACAAATGTTCCATGGGGAAAAGAAAAACTATTTGGGTTAGTGCTTCAATTTCTTTTAAATATTGGCTACAAATAAGGCAAAATTTTAATATCTTTTAAATCTGGATAGGTGTCATATTTGTTTTCTATTTTTGTATGCATCTGAAACATTCATGAATGAAAAAAAAGACAAAATGAAAATGGGTGAGATTTGTATAGTACATAATGTCTAAAATGCAGATCTACTGGTAAATCATGTCATCAGAGTTTAATTTAGATTACTATTGGCATATTAATGTTTGTGTATCCATGACACTAAAACACCGAGTCAATTCAGTATACAAGATTGGTCAAGATAGGAGGATAAAAACCTTAAAACAATGTATTGGCTTGGAGAATTGACTGCTTGTTAAGTTGACCTGTTTATTTAGTCAAAATTATTAATTGACTGTTTTCAAATAGGATATTATAGATTATAATAAGTTATAAATAACACTTCATAAGTAACCACATTAGAATAGCTTTGGAAGAATCTTTCATTTTAAATAAGGGGTTTATCAATGGCTATTTTATGAGGTAAAATAGAAAATAAATGAGTAGATTTTGGCTGGGTACGGTTGCTCACGCCTGTAATCCCAGCACTATGGGAGGCCGAGGCGGGTGGATTATTTGACGTCAGGAGTTCGAGACCAGCCTGGCCAATACGGTGAAACCCTGTCTCTACAAAAAATACAAAAATTGGCCAGGCATGGTGGCATTTGCCTGTATAATCCCAGCTACTCGTGGGGCTGAGGCAGGAGAACCACTTGAACCCAGGAGGTGGAGGTTGCAGTGAGACGAGATCACACACTGCACTCCAGCCTGGATGACAGGGTGAACTCCATCTCAAAAATAAATAAATAAATAAGCAGATTTCTCACCACGTAAAATACTGCTTTATAAAATGGTTAGCATAGTAAATGAGCTTTCATTGAAAAGAAGACAAATGCAGGCAAATGCAGACAGATCTTATGAAATGACCAAGTACCCTTGCAACCCCTAACAAAATTTAGGATCCTAAAAGTTAAGTAATCCCATTAAACTTCGGCCAGCGAAACATCGTGGTAATGCAGGAGTAATTAGGAGGAGAATACTATGTTTTCATTTGCATTGATATTAATTGTGGTATGATAGACTGAGAAAAATTAGGAAAGGGTCTTTTTTCCAATGAGTCACATTCCCGGAGGCCAACCAGAGGTGTTTCAGACTGGGGAATTCTTATGATTCCCAAGTCAGAGGGGATACTTATAAGTCACCATTGTTTTTTAGAGATTTTCTACTTCTATTAATTCATTCTATTTATTCTATCTATTCTATCATTCTCTCTATTTATCTATTAAATTCTATCATTCATTTATTCATTCATTAAATAAAAAACATTTATTGGAGGACAGTACTTGCTAAAAAGTCAGACACAATCTCTTATGGATTTGTTATTTTTTGCTGCCCAACAAATAGTACCAAACTTTAGTGGCTTAAAACACCAATATGTTTTCAGTACTTCTTATAGTTTCTCAGGGTCAGGAATTTCAGGAGCACTTGACTGTACAGTTGTGGCTCCATGTTTCTCAACCAGGTGTCAGAGTTGTAGTCATCTGAAGGCTTGACCCTGTGTGGGGGATACATTTTAAAGGTGGTTTACTTACATGGCTGGCAAGATCATGCTGCCTGAGAGCAGAAGGAGTCAGTTCCTCTCCATGGAGGACTCTACATTAGGCTCTTCTTGGTCTTCTAACATGGCAATTGGCTTTTCCCAGAATGAATGATAAGAGACCAGTGTGGAAGCTGCAATGCTCTTTATGGCAGTCTTGGAAGTCAATACTGCCACTTCTGCCATATTCTACTGGTTATACCAGGCTAACCCTGATTCACTGTGGATGAGGACAACCTAGGAGCATGAATACAATAGGTAAGGATAATCATGGTGCTATCTTGAAGATTGGTTTTTATACCTTTCTTCCAAATAGCTCACATCATGTTAATTCTAATACAGTATAATAAGTGCTATGGCGTATTTTTTTAAATCCTTAGATTTGTTTTTCTGGAGAGCAAATTGAACATTTCCAAATATCCTTCTTCAAAGACAGAAGATGCAACAGATAGATAAAGTCTAAAATCACTGACCTTATCATTTTGTTTTAGGATAAAGCCAACGAATCTTAAAAGTTGTTTACAGATGTTTCTCTCATTTTGGCAAGAAAGAAGTTAAATTTTTTAATATCAATCTTAGAAAAATGTCATTTGAGTTTGACACTGAAAAAGTCAAACAGAATGCTTCAGGCAAGACTATATATCAAAAGTGGCAGACAGAAACACGAATGTTGCTTTTGGAATCAGACTGTACACTTAACTTGATTTTCAGCTTTGCTTACTGAAAATAATATTCCAATTTAAAATGGCTTTTATATTTGCTTTTTAGAAGATTAAGTTTATGGCTGTTTAGAAAACAATTATTATTATTATCCCCAAATGTTGTCATATGCAAATATGTTTTGAGCTCTAAGTATACCCATTTCTCACAGAGGTCTCTTCTAATTGGATCAAACTACTCAAATGGATGAAAGGAAGAAAAGGGACAGTAATGTCACCTGTTTTTTCCCCTTGAAGTTAATAAGAGGGCTTGTGGTGCTGAGAATTGCAGATCTCAAGGACATTACCTAATTAGGTGAAGAAAGTTCAAATGGAATAACAAGGAAATTATCAAGTGGAAAAGAGCTTGACTATATTTTGAACTCAGCTAGAAAGGTAGACTATGAAATTTAGAAGCCAAAATGCCAGGGCTTTACTACAGATACAGAAAAGTCTCTTTTAATGCTTTCATGGTCCTTTATAACAAATGAAATTTTTATATCAGATCCAAGTTAGCCCTACCTAACCTCTTGATATTCAGTTTTTGTATCTGCTGTGAGCAACTGCTGGAGTCCCAAGAGAGCTAACAAGCGGGTTCCTACCTCTGACTTCCAGTATACAACCATTTATTCTTCTATAAGATGCAGAATGGTATTCTGAGATTAGAACATTTGCTTTCAAAATTTTGCCATTTGGTTATAGCCATCGCTCTAATATACTCTTTATATGAACCTGCTAATTTGGTATGGGAACTGTATTCCTGTTTGCTTCCTTCGTTCCCATTTGGATTGAGTTCTTATCTTGTGACCTATATCTGTTACTTTGCACATATGCTAATGTACAATTAGATTTGATTCACTTGACATTTAACTTTACTTCATTAAAGTAACTTGCATCACTGCTTGAACAATTCCTGTTAACATTACATACTAGGTTTTGTTTTGTTTTGTGTTGTTTTGTTTTCCAATATGGCAGGTTCGAGGCATCGCCAGCATACCTCTAATCTGCCATTGCTAGCATACCTCTCCTAGTTGGAGGGACAAAATCGTGAGTAGAGATTCACACTGTGAACTTTTTAAGTGATGCAGAAACTGAACATAAAAGTTGAAGGAATCCACAGACCCCTCTGAGGGAAGCAGCAGGCTGCAACCTACACTATGAGTCAGATAAAGGGCTGTGAGTCCCCGGAGTGTAAGAGGGGGAGAGTTTGCCTTGAAGATACACACACACCAGGGAGCCTGAAAGTCCAGACCACAGAGGAAAGCCTTAACCCTACTCAGCACAAGAACTGAGTTGGGAAGGGTCATAGAATATAAAACTAGAAGTAGCAATGGGAAGATGCTTGTGTGCACTCCCAATCTCCAGCGTGGATTGAGGGAAGACATTACTTATTGTTCCTCATAGGGGGCGATGTGGAGGTCAGCCAAATAGTTCAGGCAGTGGTTTCAGGTTGAAGGAAGACCCCGATTGGGTTTCACAATATAACCTCTGGTGAGAACAAACCCCCTTGGTCAGGGGCAGGGGCAGGGGCAGGGCAAGTGAAAAGTGGGCTGCAGCCAGGAGTGAGAGTGCAGGAGTCAGGCACTCAGTTTTGCAGGCAGATGCGGAAGGGGCACAGCCTGAAAGCTGTCGTTGCTATCTCTGCAGGGAAAGCTTATAACCTGGGGCAGTTGTGAGTTCTGAGTGCAGGCTGTCTGCAACTCAGCTCCCTGCTGCCAGTGGAACACTGTAGGTGGGAGTGGGTCTGCCTTGCAAATTGAGTGACATCTGTGTGGGGCTTACTGATGCCTGCTACTCCCCACTCTTCTGTGCAGCAGAGGCAGCAATGCTCCCCTGTAGAACATCAAGCCAGTGGCCTGAGAACTTCCCCTATGCCCCCAACACTCACAGGGACTGCTGCTTGCCCTACCCATGGAAAGTCAGAATGCAAACCCACCCGATCTAGCCCCCACCTGGCTTTGCCCTGTCACCTGTCCTGGTAGCTTAACACAACGTACAAAAACTCTGGGGAGCCATATGACCCTGCCCATTGCCAGAGAAACCAGGGTACCCCCTGGGCAACATAAGGCAAGCAAAAATCCCACTGCTATTGCTGCAGCTGGTGCTCTTTTGCAAGCCCTAGGTCCTGGCTAGAGGCCCACCAACACAGTCCATTACAGCATCTCCTGGTAGAATAGCACTGCATCCAGCAAAGAGCAAATGGCTGTGTGACCTCGGCTATCACAACTGCCTGCACCATTCTGGCTAACCAGGAGGTCCTGAGTCTGTCCACGTGACCAGTTCATTACTACTGTAACCTGCGTTCGAGAAAGCCAACACACTAAGGCTATCAATAACCAAGGAATCTCACAGAATCTACGTCACTCCGCTGCTACCCCCATTAGAGCTGGTGCTGCTACCCACTGCTAGAAGCCTTCAGGACAGGTCGCATCACTGCATCCCTTGATCATATTTGCTAGCACCAGCCTGGAGTGTGGCAAGTTCGCTGGGTAGCTAGACCCAGAGGAGCAACAATACTCACAGTAGTCTGGCTCCCAGGGATTCTCACTCCTAGGGAAAGGAGGAGTGCACCACAGCAAGGGAACACCACATAAGAGAAAGGATCTGGATGGCAGACCTTGAGCACCAGATCTTTCTGCTGGTGGGAAGTTTCTTTCAGCAGAGACACAGTTGCAGTGCTGGGCTCAACAGGGAATGTCTGCAGCCCAAGTCCAACAGTCAGACAGCTCTGATGCACGTGAAGGGTCTTGGAGTAGGGGCTGCCTTTTCCTTCTCATTCACCACCACAGGCACAGTTGGTACTTCTCCCACATGATCTCGATGTGGGTGCAACTATAAACAGCACTTCTGGAACATGTCACAGGAGGAGCGCCACCCCAGGTTCAGACTTACATGAGAGACAGAATCGCAATTCCTGTCTAGTTGGAATATCAACATTCCTGCAGATAAAAGGAGGTGCCTGTTTGATCTGAATAGCCAGAGCACAGGGACAGGAGTGTGTCTGAGAGGTGGATAGTTTTCCTGATGACCCAGCAGGGGAGCTGAGGTGGCTCCAACCCTTTACCCGATAAGACCTCAGTGCAACTCACTGAGAGCTCCTCAAGCAACCTCGGTCAAGGCTGGGGCCTCTGCCCAGCATTGGGTATTGCATTTACTGACCTGCTTTAGCCAGAACTGGTTTCTTTCCAGGGACATCCCCCATACTGACCTGAGGCCTGAACCATCAACCTAGTGAATAAAATACTGGGGAAAGTTAATTAAAAATAGCATGCCATGGAGGAAGGAGATAAGCTTCAAGAGGACTCTACCATTCTAACCCCATAGGAGACAGTGAACTTGCTCATACACCAAGCACATTGCTACTACAACCAACATACAAGAAATCTATCATACAAACACTCCCTATAACCAAGGACCTCTTACAGAATCTTCACTCAAGAAAGCACCAAAACCAAATTAGGCTATAATTAACTGTAAGCATTAAAGTCACATCCATAAGGGGAAAAAAGAAATTTAAAAAGCACAGTAAAACCAAACAAAAATTCAAGAATAATTAGAAGAAATATTGTACCCAAATGAAAAGCATCCAGAAAAGTAACTCTGGTAATATGACAAAATAGGGTTCTATAACAGCCCCCAAAAGAGCACACTAGTTTGCCAGCAGTGAATCCAAATCAAGATAAAAATCTTTGAAATACCAGATAAAGAATTCAGAAGGTGGATTATTAAGCCACTCAAGGAGATACCAGAGAAAGGTAAAAACCATCACACGGAAATTAATAAAAGCAGTTTATGAATGAAAAATTGGCTAGAGAGATAGATATCACAAAGAAAAACCAATCAGAACTTCTGGATATTAAAAAATTACAAAATGCAGTGGAAAGTTTCAACAATCGACTAGAACAAGTAGAAGAAATACTTTCAGAGCTCAAAGACAGGCCTTTTAAATTAACCCATTCAGGCAATAATAAAGAAAAACAAATCAAAATAAATGACCAAAGTCTCCAAGAAATATACAATTATGTAAAATGGCCAAACAAGAATCACTGGTGTTCCTGAGAGAGAAGAAAAATGAAAAGTCTGGAAACCTAATTTGAGGGTATAATTGAGGATTTATTTCTAGATTTTCTATTCTGGTCCATTGGCCTATGTGTCTATTTTATACCAATACCATTCTGTTTTGTTTTCTGTAGCTTTGTAACATATTTTCCCGTGAGGTACTGTGATGCCTCCAGCTTTGTTCTTTTTGCTCAGGATTGCTTTGGCTATTCAGGCTCTTTTTTGGTTCAATACAATTTTTGAGATTTGTTTTTTCTATTTCTGTGAAAAATGCCATTGGACATTTTATAGGAGTGACATTTGTTCTGTGTGGGAAATGCGCGAGGAGAGAAGAAAAGACACACACACAATACCTTTAAGGGTAAACAACCTTTATCCCATGTAAATAGCAATGCAGATATAATAAGCAAATGATATAAAAATAAGCAAATGATATAATAAGTAGATTGATATAATAAGCAAACTGCAATGGGATGGGGATAAGGGAAAAGATATTTACACTCACCAGCCTACGGAGGATTCACCATCAGACTGGCGAACAACAACCTGGGCTCCAGAGTCGGATACTGCACAGCATTGAATATGTAGATTACTTTTGGATAGTATGGTCGTTTTAATAATATTAATTATTCTGACTCATGAGCATGGGATGCTTTTCTATGTGTTCATGCCCTCTTTAATTTCAACCATTAATGTTTTATAGTTTTCCCTGTAGAGATCTTTCACTGCCTTGGTTAAATTTATTCACAGGTGTTTTTTAGCTATTGTGAATGGTACTTCCTTTTTTATTCCTTTTACAAGTATTTCATCATTTTGGTACACAGGAAGTCTAATGAATTTTGTATGTTTATTTTTGTATCCTGCAACTTCACAGAACTTCTTTCTCAGCTCTAATAAAGTTTGGTTAAGTCTTCTGGTATTTCTAAATATAAGATCATGTCATCTGCAATGAGGGACAATTTGACTTTCTCTTTTTAAAATTTAGATGGCTTTTATTTCTTCCTGTTGTGAAATTGTGCTGGCTAGGAATTCCATTACTATGTGGAATAGGAATGGTGAAAGTTAACGTCTTTGTCTTATCCCTGTTCTTAGAGGAGAGACTTTCAACTTTTCCCCATTCTGTATGATGTTAGCTGTGGGTTTGTCACGTACAGTGTTTATTATTTTGAGGTATGGTCCTTTTATCCCTAGACTGTCGGGAGATTTTACCATGAAGAGATGTTGAACATCATAAAATGATTTTTCTGCATCTGTTGATATGATTACATAGTTTTTGTCCTTTATTTAGTTGAAGGACATCTGAATATGTCTCATGTTTATTCATTTGCATTTGTTAAACCATCATTACATCCCTGATATTGATCCCACTTGATCATGATGTATTATCTTTTTGATGTGCTGTTGAATCTGGTTTGCTAGTAGTATCTTTCGAGGGTATTTGCATCTACGTTCATCAGAGTTATTGGTTTGTAGTTTTGTCATATTTGTGTTGTGTGCTTGTTTGGTTTTGGTATCAGGGTATTGATGGTCTTGTAGAATGATATATGTAAAATTCCCTTCTCTACCATATTTTTGAATAGTTTTAGGAGGATTTGTATTCATTTTTCTGTATGCATTTGATAGAATTTGGCTGTGAATTCAAGTCCTGGGGTTTTCTTTGTTGTGAGATTTGTCGTTACTGATTCAATCTTGCTACTTGTTATTGGTTTGTTTTGCTTTTTCATTTCTTCCTGATTCAACCTTGGTAGGTTGTATGTTTCCAAGAATTCATCCATTTCCTGTAGGTTTCCTAGTTTGTTCGCAAATAGTTGTTCACAAGTCTCTAATATCTCTTGTATTTCTGTGATATCAGTTTTTTGTTTTTTGTTTTTTGTTTTTTGTTTTTCTGAGATGGAATTTCACTCGTGTTGCCCAGGCTGGAGTGCAATGGTAGGATCTCAGCCCACTGCAAGCTCTGCCTCCCAGGTTCAAGCGATTCTCCTGCCTCAGTCTCCCAAGTAGCTGGGATTACAGGCATGTGCCACCACACCAGACTAATTTTGTATTTTTAGCAGAGACGGGGTTTCACCATGTTGGGCAGGCTGGTCTCAAACCCCTGACCTCAAGTGATCCACCTGCCTCAGCCTCCCAAACTGCTAGGATTACAGGCATGAGCCACCGCACTCGGCCTGTGATATCAGTTCTAATGTCTCCTTATTTATTTCCAATTTTGTTTAATTGGGACTTCTCCATTCTTCATGTGGTTAATCTTGCTGGTGGTTTATCTTTTGTTGTATGTTTTCAAAAAAACTCACTTTTTATTTTTGTTAATTATTTGTATTTTAAGTCTATATTTAATTTAGTTATGCTCTTAAGTCTATATTTAATATAGTTCTGCTTTGATTTTTTTTTTTTTTTTGAGACAGAATCTCACTCTGTTGCCTAGGCTAGAGTGCAGTGGCGCCATATCCACTCACTGCAACCTCCACCTCCCAGGTTCAAGCAATTCTTATGCCTCAGTCTCCAAAGTAGCTGGGATTACAGTCATATGCCACCATGCCTAGCTAATTTTTTTTTTCTTTTTTTTTTTTGTATTTTTAGTAGAGACAGGATTTTGCCAAGTTTGCCAGGCTGGTCACAAACTCCTATCCTCAAGTGATCCGCCCACCTAGGCCTCCCAAATTGCTAGGATTACAGGCTTGAGCCACCACCTCTGGCCTGCTTTGATCTTTATTATTTCTTCTCTTTTTCTAATTTTAGGTTTAGTTCATTCTTGCTTTTCTCAGTCCTTGAGGTGCATTGTTAATTATTGATTTGAAATATCTCTGCTTTTTGATGGTGGTAATTATTGGTATAAACTTCCCTCTTAGTTTTGATCTTGCTGAGTCCTTTAGGCTTTGGTATGCTTTGTTTCCATTTTAATTTTTTCAAGAATTTTTTTGATTTGCACATGAATTTGTTCAATGACTTTGTGGCATGTTGTTTAATTTCCATGTAATTGTATAGTTTCCAAAGTTCCTCTTGGCATTGATTTCCAGTTTATTCCATTGTAGTCTGTAAACATACTTGATATGACTTTGATTTTTTAAAACATATTTAGACTTGTTTTGTGAACTAATATTATCTATCCTGGAGAATATTACATGTGTTTATGAGAAGAATGCCTATTCTGCAATTGTTGGATAACATGCTATGTAAATGTCTGTTAGGTTTATTTTCTAAAATCCAGTTTACATCCACTGTTTCTGTGTTGGTTTTCTATACACATGATCTTTCTATGCTGAGAGTAGTGTGAAAGGAAAATAAATCTTGGAGCCCCAAAATCATCAAACTAAAAAGAAAAGTCAAGCTGGGCACTGCTTAGGGCAAACCTGCCTCCTATTCTATTCAAAGTCATCCCTCTGCTCACTGAGATAAATGCGTATCTGACTGCCTCCTTTCGAAAGGCTAATTAGAAACTCAAAAGAATGCAACCATTGTCTACCTATGACCTGGAAGCCCCCTGCCTGATTTGAGTTGTTCCACCTTTCCAGAATGAACCAATGTTCATCTTACATATATTGCTTGATGTCTCGTGTCTTTTTAAAATGTGTAAAACCAAGCTGTGTCCCAAACACCTTGGGCACATGTCATCGTGACCTCCTGAGGCTGTGTGGGCCACAGGTGCACGTCCTTACCCTTGGGAAAACAAACTTTATAAATGGACTGGGACCTGTCCCAGATATTTGGAGTTCACAGTAGGTTGTTAAAATCTCCCATTCTTATTGTATTGCAGTTTATCTCTCTTTATATTGAGTAATATTTGTGTTATTTAGCTTGGTGCTCCAGGGTTGCGTGCATACATATTGAGAATTGTTATATCCTCTCATAAGATAAGATTGATTCCTTGATCATTATATAATGGCATTCTTTATCTTTTCCTTTACCATTTTTGACTCAAAGTCTGTTTTATCTAATACGTATAGTTACTCCTGCTTGCTTTTGGTTTCCATTTACGTGGAATATCTTTTTCAGATCCCTTTCAATCTTAGGTGCCTTTACAGGTAAATTGTGTTTCTTGTAGACAGCACAGAGTTGGACCATGTTTATTTTTTAATCCACTTAACTAGTTTATCTGTTTTAACCAGAGGGTTTAATCCATTTACATTAAAGGATATTATTCATATGAGAAGTTTTGTCCCTATCATAGTGTGAATTGTGTTCTAATTGTTTGGTATATTCTATTTTTCCTTTCTTTTTCTGTTATTATTTGTCACTGCACTTTAGTGGTTTCTTGTAGTGGTACCACTTAAGACCTTTCTCTTTCTCATTTGTGTGTTGGTTTTTCCTGTGAGTTTGATACTTGCGTGTGTTTCCATCATGGTAAACGGCATCCTTTTGCTTCCATGTTTAGAGCTCCCTTGAGTATTCCTTGTAGGGCCAGTGTAGTGATGAGGAATTTCCGCAGCTTTTGCTTATCTGGATGTGAAAAGTAAAGTAGAGGTTCCTCTTTGAAGGCTTTCCTCCCCATCTAATTAGGAATAAATAGTAACTTCTCTTAGAAGCAAAATTTATTCAAAGACCTGTGCTAACATTCTTAAATGTCTGCTAGCCGTAATAAAGAAATCAATATACTTTCTGTTCTAGCTCTCACAATTTAGCCTAAATATTTGCCCTGGCATGCTTATACTGGTCCAAGCAAGCATTAGGTCATAGCCTGTGCCTCTTCCTTATGTGGAGGTGTTTTTACCTTTCTCAGCATTCCACAAGTTACTTCCTCCTTCCTTTGGTCTCCTCTGCCTTTGCCTCTTTTAAAAAGTTCTAAGTTGCTAGCCAGTTGGGACAAATACAGAATGTGAGATCCCATTCCAGCCAATGGAAACCGGACACAGCAGCAGGGTGGATGCGTCAGGTTATAAATGACCCTGTCTCCTTTGTTCAGTGTACTCTCGTGGCAAAACTGCTGGCGAGTGTACCCTTTCTGCAGAAAGTAAAAATGGCCTTGCTGAAGAAATTAAATTTATGTCCAAGTGCTATTTCTTCTTCTTTTTTTTTTTTTTTTTGTTGTTGTTGTTTTTCAGATAGAGTCTCATTCTGCCACCCAGGCTGGAGTGCAATGGCGTGATCTTGGCTCACTGCAATCTCCACCTCCCGGGTTCAAGCGATTCTCCTGCCTCAGCCTCCTGAGTAGCTGGGATTACAGGCACGTGCCACCATGTCCAGATAATTTTTGTATTTTTAGTAGAGACGGGGTTTCACCATGTTGGTCAGGCTGGTCTTGAACTTAGTGCTGAAAGTAAAACACTGAGAGCCAAAGATACTCTGTCCAGAAAAATTATCCTTCATATATGAAGGGAAAATAATGTATTTTCCATGTTTGAAATGCTTGTTCCCTGGTGCCGTAAAGGAACAGCACTTGACGGCACTGGGGAACAAGCATTTCAAACATGGAAAATACTTTATTTTCCCTTCATTTATGAAGGATAATTTTTCTGGACAGAGTATCTTTGGCTCTCAGTGTTTTACTTTCAGCACTTTTAAAATATCATCCCATTCTCCTCTTGGCTTATAATGTTTCTGCAGAGAAATCTGATTTAGTCTGATGGGAATTTCGTCATAGCTAAAAATATATATATTGCTGTTTTTAGTGTAATCTCTTTGTCTTTGACTTTTGGCAGATTGACTATTATGCACTGTGAAGAAAACCTTTTTTGCATTTTATCTGTTTGTGGATCTCAGAGCTTCTTGTATCTAGATGTGTAAATCTCTTGCCAGACTTGAGAAGTTTTCACCTATTCTTTTTCTAAAAATAGGTTTTCTAACCTTATTGTTTGCTCATTGCCTTCTGGGATCTTGATAATTGGAATATTTGGTCACTTTGTGGTGTCCCATATGTCACACAACCTTTACTCATTCTTTTAAAATTATTTTTTCTTTATTTTTTCTGACTGGCTTCTTGCAAAAGACCTATCTTCAATTTCTAAGGTTCTTTCTTCTGTTTGATTTAGTCTATTGCTGAAGCTTTCAAACATACTTTGTATTTCATTCAATGAATTCTGTGGTTCCAGAATTTCTGTTTTGCCCTTTTTGATGATATGTATCTCCTTGGTAAATTTCTTATTCATATCCTGAATTGTTTATCTGATCCCTTTCTATCAATTTTTAGAATTAACTTGTATTTCACTGAGCTTATTTAGAACCAATAATTTGAATTCTGTTTTGAGGATTTCATGAATTTCTTTTTTATCAGGATCTGTTACTAGAGAATTATTGTGTTTCTTTGGAGGTGCCACATTTCTTTCCTTTTTCATGTTTCCTGTGTTCATATGTTGATATCTGCACATCTGGTGTCACAGTTTCCTGGGAGGGCAGAATCCCCAGGGGCAAGTGTCACCCTGGGACTATCTCTTAAAGGAAATGTTCTTTATGGAGGGCATGTATAGAGGAAATGTTGTTTATGATTATCTCTGATTGGGACACTGATATAGGCTCCGTGCAGGATTAAAATACTGGGCAGAAATAACAAGTAAAATGTTACTGAGATGATTAGAATTAAAGCACTCTAAGGTGTTTCTACTGCTTGAGAAAAGAATATGTGATTTTAGAATCTTTAACTATTAGAAGCTGTATGTAATAGAAAAAAAAATCCAAGATGATTTTTTATTCTCTTAGAGTTTCTCAGATGGAGTCTCTGAGTCTGGATTCTCTTAGAGTACAGAGGAAGGTAGTTGAGGACCATACTACAGATGTGCAAATTCACCAGTAACACAGACTCTGTTTTACTTCCTTCACTGCCAAACTTAGAGTGTGGTAGTCTGTCTCATGCTTACAAGATGACTGTTCTGCCTGATATTCTGGGTAGGAAGAAGAGTAAAGAGTAAAAGTGAAAAGGCAAATACCAGTCAGATAACTTCCCACCCCGCTTTTTTTTTAATCAGGAAGACAGTTGCTTTATGAAAGCCCCACACAGTAGACTGCAGCTTAAAACTTGCTAACCCAAAGTGGGTGGCATTACCACTCCTACTTGTCTGAGATCCTGAGTAAAACAGACTTTTTAGCTGGACACAGAATAGAATTAATTTAGCCACTAGAAATGTCTACCATATGTATACATTTTAAGATGGCAAGATTAGCTAGAATAGAAAATAAATTTATATATCCTTCAAATTGGCAAAAATAAAACAATGATTTAAAAAATGATCAGCTCATTAAAAAGCTAAAAAGGAGAGAAAAAATGAAGCACAGATTAATCAAAGTAAATAGAAAGAATAACTTTTGGTAGCAAAAATAAATCAAATTTTACCCATAATCAAATGTAATGTTAATTGATTTGATTTAAAAGTTAAAGATAGAAATTATCAGATTGAATTTAAAAATTAAATCATAAAATATAAAGATACATAAAGATAGAAAATAGATGCACGGAAAATATATATTAAATGAGTACTAAACTAAAAATAAATTAGCTCTATTAATATCAGACAAAATAAACCACAAGACAAAAATGTTATTATTGATAATTAGTGCCTCTATACAATGATAAAGGTACAAATTACGATATTATAAATGTTATAATAATTCAAAATTTGTTTGAACTTAAAAAGGCCTCACAATATGTAAAGAACAGATTGTAGATATAAAGACAAATACTGGCAAATCTACAAACACAGCGGTAGATGTCAACATGTCCCCCTTAATTATTGAGCAGTC
The DNA here is from genome assembly GCF_000001405.40 of Homo sapiens. Lineage (NCBI taxonomy): Eukaryota > Metazoa > Chordata > Mammalia > Primates > Hominidae > Homo > Homo sapiens. The sequence goes on along the minus strand of NC_000023.11, from coordinate 146,572,182 downwards.
AAAGAGAGAAAGACAAAATTAATAAACATTTAAAAGAATTTAAAATAAAAAACATTTAAAAACTTGATTTAATGTATTAACAGCACTCTTTACTTGACAATTGGAGAGAACACACCTTTCTGTTAAGCCCATGTGAGAGATTTCCAATAATTGATAATGTGATAGGCCATGAAGCAAGTTTCAATAAATATTAAATAAATGTCATAAAACATAAGCTATCTTCTAACCAGCATTACCTTTTATTAAAAAGCAATCACTAAAAAATAACTTAAAAATGAAAATTTGAAACTATGCACTAAAACACTTGCTTCTAAATAAACTCAAACCACTTACAAAATACTTAGATAAAAGATAATTAAAATGGATACAAAACTTGTGCAATGCCTCTAACATTGTACTTCATGGGAAAAAGTTATACTGAATGTGTATATTAGAAAATAATAATGAAAATACATGAGCTAAATCTCGTTTATTTAAAAGTTTGAAAAAAATATAAAGATCTGAGCTAAAATTAACAAAATATGAAAATATGAAACAATGAAGAGAATCAACAAAGCTGGAAGTGTATCCTTTGGAAAGACAAAATTGACATACTTTGGCAATACTGAATATGAAGAAAAAAAAAAAAAGAAGAGGAGGCTCGTAAGGTGGCTCACACCTGTAATCCCGGCACTTTGGGAGGCTGAGGTGGCAGGATCACTTAAGGACACAGCAGCTGAGATCACTGTTTTACTCTTTAGCCTACCAGTTGCAAATTTCTGCTGGCTCTTTAAATTCTTTACCTGCTTTTATGATGTTTCGGAGTGAGCCGACTATGTCTTTTATGAGAAACACAGATTAGGAGTTGCCCGTTCTGTGGTTCTCCTCTCTAGAAAAATTTCCCCTTTAGTATCCATTCATTTAGACAGTCCCAAGTTCTGAATTACATCTCCCTTAGTTCAGTAAGACTGCCACTTGTTTTCAGCAAACTAAGAAGCATTTCCTAGTTTGAAAACTGCAAAGGGTAAGCTGAGTAAGAGTGGAACTGTTTTTGTGTATTTCCCTTCTTTCTGGAACCATATTCCTTAAGAGCCTTTCCTCTTCTTTTTCTGGTTCAGGACAATTCAATTGTAAAGACATTAAATGAGCAAAGTAAGGCAGGGCGCCATGCCTAAAGTCCGGGAGAAGCTATGGTGGTGCAGGTAAGATTGTCAAAGCCTGAGTAATGTCATAATGTCAGGTGAGCACCCACCATAAAAAGTAGGTATCAGAAACTAAATGGGATAATGGAAATATCTGTAAAATAGGGATGCTTAGTGCAGACAGTCAGAGCCCAGGCAAAGTAAGGACAGCATCCATAGTGCATTTTCAGGGTGGTGTAGTAGAATACCTTTGAGACAAAAGATCAGGATCTTACTTTTGCTTTGTTGCTTCACCTGTGATATTGGCAACATCATGTATTTTCTTGGCTATTTCATGGTAACATTGGTATCTACTGGTAATATTGGTATCTATCTCTGAGGCTTGATATGATTTTCAAATGAAATTGAAGTAGTGTAAGGATAATGTAGAATAAAAGGACTTATTACATAAGCATTATATAAATATAAGTTGTTATAAACTTATAATAATGATCAGAAAACTTCTTGCATAATACATCACTAACCAGTATTGTATTTTTTTTGAAAGGCTGTATGTAACTTCACAGTGGATAGATCACAGGTTTTGGAGTTTGTATCCCAGCTCTACCAGCTAAATGATGCTGAACTATCTTTCTGATATTTAGTTTCTAGATTCAAAATAATTTCAAGGCTTCATTATGAAAAACAGACTATATAATATATACAGTCTGGAGTAAAGAGAAATTATTATTATTAACCTGATGAAGATAACATCAATTTCTGAAATCCTTATTGCCACTGGGAAGTGTAGGTACTAACCAAATGTTATTGAGGTTCTTAACTTTCTAATTAATATTTTAATATTGCCTTACACAATTTATTTTCTTATGTCTGTGAATGAGCACTTTTTTAGCATTTAAGAAACTAAAATATTATGTTATCTCATGTATTTTAAAGATGAAGAAATTGCAGGTCATTATAAAAAGGATGTCTAGTAACTAATTAATCCCAATTTAAATTAAGTAAAGAACATGAGCAAAGCCAAATGAATAGCAAGTAAATAATGTTTTTATATCTGTTTGTTTAAAAAATGCCATTTGTGGAAACTGATGAGAAACCAACCACAATTTGCTTAGGTATCTCACCATTTTGGTGCCTCATCATTTTGGTAAGTGTAAGTCTATTCATTTGCAACGTGAAAGACTGACATTTTTAGTCAATAGCTTGAAATGCTAAGGTTGTGTTAATCTGGGAACAAATCATTTTCTATTTAAATGGATCAATTTTGTCCAGGAGTAAACTATAATCTCTAATGATCTGGTAAGTCATTTAGAAATAATTTGAATTGCTATGGAACCAAATGTTCTGTTGCTGAAAAAGATCAGCCAATAGTTTTTTTTAAAAAAGGTTTAATATAAAATATGTGCAGGTAAGTGAACATTTACTGTCCTGGGTCATAATAATTATGCTAATTATGTGATTTTAAATAAATACAAACAACCATGGCAAGGAAAATGGTAAAGATGAGTACACTTGACTGACCTCCAACAATGTTTCTTCTTTTCACAGAAATTGTAACTATTATTGACAAGAAGCTCTTGAATTATTAGACTATTAGAAAGAGAAACAAGAAACAGTTCTTATAAGAGATGCATATTTAGTCTGCATACTTAATCTGATGAGCTCATAGGCTCATTCTTACTCTGATGAGCTTTTAAACAAATACTTTACCCATCACTAAATTTATTTGGCTTATCTGATTTTCTGTTATAATTGCCTCCAGCTCTCATAAAGTACCATGCATAAGTACCAAGAAAACAGCCATTTTTCTTACGGTATAACAACATTCCCCGAACACATGGACACACACAATGTAACTTACACAGCTAGGTTACCTAGCACTATTGGATAGGGGCAGAGACAACAAGTGAACTGACTTAATCAGGACAGGGTTGAAAATACATGATTTTTTAGTATAAGTATATTTCATGGCAATATTTGAGACGTACTAATACTAAAACGTTGATGTTTACCTGAAATTAAAATTTAACTAACCATTCTGTTTTCTTTTGTGTTTATTTTTATTGCTACTGTTGTTTTTGTTTCATTTAATTTTGTTTATTGGTTAAATCCACCAACTTTAACTCAGGAACTTTAGTTTTATTTCATTTTTGGCTGTGCTAATGATTAACATTATAATCTTGGGTGAATCATTTTAGCCCAGATTTTCACATTCTTCTGGTAATAAAATGAATTCCGGTTTCTATTTTCACATTTCTACTTTGAAGATTCTCCCCATATTTAATGAACTACAGGTAAATCAGAGATGACTGCTGAACAGTCAACTAATTATCTCAACAAACGTTATAATTTGGTAACTGAGATTATAATTAACCAGAGTGACTTTAGCAATTTAAAAGAAGATAATCATAGCAGATTAATAGTCAATATTCTCTTTTTAATAACCTTTAAAATGGCCAAGGATCTCCCAACTATTTATAAAATAGTTTAATTATATTTTCCTTTCTTCATATTTCAAACTTTTTGCTTTGAATATTATATTATCAAACTAAATCACTCTGTCTTTCCCTGTTGCAACCATTTGGAGACTCCGGTGTCACTCTTCATTATTTCTTGGAGATTTTATCTTGACACATCGTCACTCTCTCTAGGACTATTTTAGCCATAGTTACTGATACTTGCATTATCCACATGGATGATGCTTCAAGTACCCTAAAATTTCACTTTTAAAATGTCCTCTTCTCAAATGATTTTGGCTTCCACCCAGTCTTATCCACCTACTCCCATGGGTATATCCTAGACCTTGTCATAACCAAAAATATAACTACCTTATAACTTCAATTTCCAGAATCCCATTCTGACTACCGTATCCTATAATTTCAGTGTACTTCTTCTAGTACTGAAATTCCAATTATCTTTTCCCCACCAAGGCGCATTTCTCCTGGTAACGTTTTACTATCCCTTGCCCTGTTGCATCCTCAATTACCCCTAGATTGAATTCCACAGTCTATCAGTGGGATAGTCTTTATATCTGCTTACTAGTATCTGGTTTTCCTTCACTTCTAGAAACCTAGGAGGATTACCATTCTACACCTCATGAAGTTAGTCAAGGACCTTAATGACACTAGGCAATTGTAATGTGTTTCTATAGTTCACTCCTTTCCCCACTGTCATAGAAATCTATTTTGTGCATTTTCCTCCTATTTCAAATGTCCAACACTTCCTTCCCAATCTTCACTCTCAGCTAATGGCACTGATTGGAAGAGGAGGAGGAAAGAAGAGAGAGAGTAAAGCAGAATTTCACAAACCATATCTTATATGTTAAATTATAACATATCTTATATATCTTTTGGCAAATATGCATATATGCTCTACCTTTCTTCTATTAATATTGATATATTGTCTGTGCTCCATTCTAGGATCATCTTTTCCACTTTTGTGTAAGACCCTAACCAAGAAAAGAACACCACTTTCTCAATTCTTCCCTCTTTCCAGAATCTTTGTAATTTTTCTCTCTGTTGGATTTTTCACATCGATACAGAGACATACTACAGTTTCTCTTATCTTAAAAGACTTCTGAATCTACATTTACTTGAAGCTCTAGCCCTGTTTCTCTGTTCCTTATAATCTCAAAGTTCTTCAAATGAATTGCTTGCACTCAAGGTTTCCAATTCCCCACCTCTCATACTTTCTTGGGCCCATTCCAATGAGACTTTCAATTCTACTATTCCATCAAAAATGTACTAGACAATGTTACAAATAACTTCCACATATTTAAATTATTTTCTTACCCCCTATTTTCTTTCTTTCTACCAGAAGTGTTTGACACAGTTAATCATCCCTCCTTGCGTGGTCCCTTCACTTTGTTTCCATGGAACTATGCCCTCCTGGCATTCATTTTTATGGCACTTGCCATTTCTAATCAGTCTCCTTAGCAAATTCCTTCCCATTTCACTAAACTTCCAGAGACTGGAGTACCACAGGGCTCATTCTTTGAATGCTCTTTTGATACATTTTATGATTCCGTCCAGTATTGATGTTTTAAATGTAGCTATAGGTTGATTAGTCCCACATACATATCTCCATCTTATAACTCTCCTTAAGTCAAAATTTATATAAACTCTTGTATAATTAATGGCATCTGAAATATAAACTGTACCACACAATGCTCCTTATCTTCCCTCAAGTCCGTTAATTACACAGGCTCCTCCATTTCACAACCATCTGATATAGTTTGGATCTGTGTCCCTGCCAAGTCTCATATCAAATTGTAATCCCCAGTTTTGGAGGTGGGGCCTGGTTGAAGGTGATTCTATCATGAGGGCGGTTTCTCATGAATGGGTTAGCAACATGCCTCTTGGGACTGTCCTTGTGATCGTGAGTTCTTTTGAGATCTGGTCATTTAAAAGTGTGTGGGACCTCCCTCTGACCTCCTGTACCTGCTCCTCCCATGTAATACGGCTGTTCCCCCTTTGCCTTCTTCCATGATTGGAAGCTTTCTGAGGCCTCCCCAGAAGCAAAAGCCACTATGCTTCCTGTACAGCCTGCATAACCATGAGCCAGATAAACATCTTTCCTTTATAAATTGCCCAGTCTCAAATATTTCTTTGTAGAAATATGAGGAAAGACAAATATGCCATCTTTACAATCTCTCAGGTCAAAATGTGGAGCTATCATTAACTCTCTCACACCCAAAATGCAATATAATGGAATACTATTCGGCCTTAAAAATGAAGGGAATCTAAATTTGGTTAGATGGGAAGAATACATTCATGGGATCTATTATACGATATGGTGACTACAGATAATAATACTGTATACTTGAAAATTGTCAAGAAAACAGATCTTAAATATTCTCTCCACAAAAATAAGTGTGAGGTGGTGAATAAGTTAATTAGTTTGATTTAACTATTTCACAATGTGTATGTATATATTTTAAAATATCACACTGTACATATTAAGTATATATGTTTATTTGTCTGTTTTATCTCAGTAAAGATGAGGAAATTAAGTAAAATAAAAATAAAATAAAATCACACACACAAGCAGATGCTCAATGGATCAATCTGCCAAATTAAATAGAGTAAATTTTAATCAGCCAACAGCCCCTAAGTGTCCAGGAGTGGGTCAGTGCTTTCCCGTCAGAATCTGTGTGCAATATCCAGTGGTAGAGAATCCTAAAAGCAAGCTCAGGAGAAAACCTGAAGGCCCCAGGGGAGCACTGGGAGGCTTCTGCATTCAGAATGACCAAAATCCACTCCAAAGATTACACACTCACAGGGACACTCAAGGCCCTGAGAGAAGAAGGACACAGAATGTAACTTCATTAAGAGTTGAGCCTACGTTAATGAGACCTGGATTGGTAGACTCTGGCTTCTAGCTTGCCTTGGTTTCTGGACAACCACATGTACTTTTCTGCACATTTCTAATATTTTAATATCTTCCATTTGACTCTTCTTGCTGCTTGCCCCAGAATCCGATCCTCAGAATGCCTTGCTTCTTTATTCTCTCCCTTTCTTGCTCTCTCTCTCTCACTCCTCCCTCTCCCTGATATCTACTTCCACTCAACATACCAATTAGTATGTAAGATAGTGTGACTGAGCAAGAATACCACCATAGTAAGAGCCAGCAGGCCTGAACTTCATTTCTAACTCAGCCACTATCATGTCGCATGACTTAGGCCAGTGGTTTTCAATTAAGGGATTTTCTCCCAGGGTCATTTGGCATATCTGGAGACTTTTTTTGTAGTTATGACTCGGGTCAGGGAGTTGCTACTGGAATCTAATGAGTAGAGGCCAGAGATGCTGCTCAACGTTCTACAATGTGCAGGGCACCCCACTCAAGTGGCAAGAAATTATGCAGATCAAACTGTCAATAGTGCCAAGACTGAAAAAGACATCTATAAGAAAATTATTTCTCTGGAGTTTGGTTTTCTCATCTGTGAAAGATTTTAATCATGTATCAGAGACTCTCTTACTAATAAGCTCAATGATATAATGAATTGCACTCATGAAATCGTACCAAAGAATTCAATGCAGTTCAAAATGATTTAGAAACAGCATTTATTTTTAAATATATTTCAGAAGAACCTCATATAAACAAGGTAAATGACTTGCTTGAGAAAATCTGGAATGGGAATAGAATGCTGGTCTGTGGAGTCTCCAGTCAACTGCACTGTCAACCTCATCACACTGCTTCCAACAGACAATGTGACATTGTAAGAAATGCCTGACTGAAAATATTTGCTGAAGTTTTGGTCACAAACTACAATAAATTCTGTTTTTATTCTTTTATCTGTATAGAATGGGTAAAGTTTCTCTTCTCGTTTTGGGTTACTTTCAAAGACTTCAGGCACTTGATTTCATCAAACAATCGATTTGATTTTTTCTATGTTGCTAACTCAAGTGTTTCTGTATAAATCCTAAGACACAACACAATTGAATAATTGATTGCATAGGTCTAACTTTTGAATTTTACAAATCAGTATCAAAACTTTCATGTCACATGGTGATCTTTTCAGGTAAATAAGATTACGTATCATATTTTATTAAGTTAATACCGACTTGATTCATTTCTTATTAGGGAATTAACCACACATACAGGGTCCTATATATTGTAGCCATTTGAAAAGTACTTTAAGAAGGATAAATTCAAATATACTGGCTCCCCGCACCATACTATCAGAAGCCCAGTGATGACACAATTTACAATGCTTAGCTGTTTATACCGTTTATGTATGTTTCTGCTGTGAGATACAGATGAAAAAGATTGAGAAGCCTGTGGTAACTAAGTAACCAACTTTCTCTGACAGTTTCACAGGAAGCCCAACTTACCAATTATCTCTATATTGGAGCTAAATTACCCTTATCAAAGGCTAAAGCAGCCATGAGAAGAGTCAAGACCGATCACAAATGCTCATGAGCTAGCTGTGCCAGACATTTGGTTTCAATTTGAAAGTTACTTATTTTTTGACAGAAAGTGTCACTGGAACAGGTAGTTAAGACATCACTATATCTCTTCTTCTTTTTTAGTGAAGGTTAATTTGAGGGATTGTGAAAAGCAAAGAGAAAATCAAGCCTTTCAGTTTAAACACCTTTAATGAGTGAGAAAAGCCAATTTTGTATCAAGTAAGCACCTATGGTAGCCAAGGAAATGACAGCCAAATGGCAGCCAAGGATATGGCAGTCAAAGGGCAGCCAAGGACATGGATCTGAAAAGGGTGATTTCAAGTCAGGTTTTGATACCTCATCTTTTTGAAAGCAGGACAGTCTACGGAGGGAATAGATTATTGGACTAAAAAGAAGACATCACTCTAAACCACAACTATCCCTGGGAAAGACTCATTTTTGCTTAAGGAGAATGACAGAAAAACAAGTATTGAGTTTATGATCAAAGATTTCTCCAAGCGAAATTAAGAAGTAATTAATTAACTTCTAAATTCTGATAATATATTTTGCAAAAGAAGCATTGACTTAGGCTAAAAAAGTAATACTGTTTAAATACTTTCAAGGCTAGCAAAACAGGAGAAGCAATATTTTCAACCAATATTAGAAATACTTCCATTAAAAGGCAAGGTATAAAAATGAAATATATAAAATATGTATCTAGAAAGCCACAGAATATAATAGATGTTTATCTTGCTAATATCTCAAAGTTATTTTCTATAAATAGTTATCAATACATGTTTATTTCATACTCAGGGCTCAGGACTTCTAAAGCATTATTTTATCCCAAGGCTACAACAACAACAACAACATTTATGCATATTTCTGACAGTGAAAACTGTAGAGATGATAGTGAAAAACTTTATGAACAATTTTTCTTAAAATGATGAGGGAAATTTGATGAAGCTTATAAACAATGCAGATCCATCATTTACTTAAATTAAGTATCACTATGTAACGTAAAACAATCAAACATGTCATAGACATCAAACACATTTCAGTTTCACCATCAAGATCATCTCATCTGAGAAACACAGCTCTATTTACCAGTGGAAAAATAGTTAAATATTCTTCATATGTTATATACTTTGGATGGGAGTAATAGTGTCACAAGACTCCAGATTCTTACTACATATGGATCCAGTCCACCTAGAAATAATCATTTGTCATCAATTAAATTACTAAATACCTTTTTAATTAAGTAAATATATTGAAAGTCTCTGGAACTGAAATACGTGTATGGTTTGATTTTTGTTAGGAAGGCATCAGGGTTCCTTATATGGTCCGAGATTCCCACAGTTCTATATGTTTATGCTGTTCTGTGGAAAGCTAAACTTAAGTAATATTCCTCCTTGACTTCTCTGCATCATTTGAAACTGTGGATCACCTTTTTACCTGGCTCCTAGCCATTGAAGTCTCCATTCTCCTTCTCTGGCCATTCCTCTGCTACTTTCTGTTCCTCCTCTTATACCTAAATGTCACTACCTTCCCTAAGACAGGACAAATTATTGGCTCTTTTCTCTATATTGTCTTCTTTAGCAATTACATTTTCCATATCATATCCTTAATGACCACCACTAGTAGTGATATATCCCTTGTACCACCTCACACAGATAATGCATGTATACTAGCTTTTCTGTCCAATGTGGACAGATCAACATATCCCTATTGAATGGCTCACTTGAGAAAACTAAGCAAAAGAAGAGAATACTGGTCCCCAAGTCACTATTCACCTTGACTGTCAACTTTATCACACCGCTTCTCAGAGGAGATGTGACACTTTAAGAAAATGCCTAGCTGGTATACTTCCCTTAAGTTTTGGTCATGAACTAGAAGAAAAACCTGTTTTTATTCTTTTATCTACATATACTAGGAGAAGCTTCCATCCACAAATTTAGTTTTACTTCCTAAACCTCATGCACTTGAGCTCATCAAAAAATTCACTTGACGTGTTTTCCATGTTTCTAACCAAAGTGTTTCTCTATGGATCCCAAGCCACAGGAAATATCCCTTATTCTTCAGATAACTTTTTAAGCCAATTTGACCACTAGTCTGTAATACACACTTGCCCACTTTTGTTGCCCACATCTAACAGGGAAAAGTAATCCTAACAAAATCAATTTTATTTTATTGACTATTTATCTTGCAATAACCTTGTGATGTATTATTATCATGAAAATATAGATAAGCCAATCCTCAGAACTCTCCTGTAACTTGTTGAAAATTGCATCAAGTGGCAGCCATGATTCAATGAATTCAGCTATGAATACAAAACCTAGTCTCTTGCCACAATGCTATAGAAGGCAACAAGTCTTTCTTGCTGTATATTTTGATTATCTGCTCAATTGAAATCTCTGTCAGTAACATGCTTAGTTGGACTTTCTCACTTAGGTGTTTTAAATTAAATGGAATTGAGTTTGAATCTCTAGGTCTTATTACCTATTCCTAAAACTCTGATCAAAATACTATAATTTTACAAGCCATAATTTTCTCTTCTGTAAATTGCTACGATAATATCTATCTGACTGCAATGGACTATTAATTAAATCAGACAGTTATTGTACAGAACTTAGCATAGTAGCTGAAGGTACTCCATGAAAGGCAACCACTACAATTATTGTTCTCTACCTTTGCCCTCCAGCATTCTCAGCTCCTCCCTTATCATAACAGTGTATTTTATTACTTCTTTATTTATGCTATTAAATAGCCCTTAAGTCAGAGACTGCATTATATTTATTTTTTATTTTGTTGTGACAGAGTCTTGTTCTGTTTCCCAGACTGGAGCACGGTGGCATGATTATCATTCACTGCAGCCTCGACCTCCCTGGTTCGAGTCATCCTTCCACCTCAGCCACACAAGTAGCTAGGTCTACAGGTGTGTGCTACCATGCCTGATTCATTAAAAAAAAAATCATAGAGACAGTGTCTCATCATGTTGCCCAGGCTGGTCTGGAACTGCTGGGCCCAAGTGATCCTCCCACCTCATCTCTCAAAAGTGCTAGGATTACAGGCATGGGCCATTACACCTGGCCTCAGAACCGCATTATTAACCCATCTTCCCAAGCATCCAACCCTGCTAGGTACTCAATACATTTAGGTAGTTTTTCCCCCAACTGCCATAGAACACCTTGACTAGAAATGAAGTTTCCACCTGTATTTATTCAGGATTTCAGGCTGGTCCCACCCCTCCAGGTGTTCATTAGCTTCCCGGTCTTTTAGCTAATGAAATTTTTAATGTTGTTAAACACTGACTCCTCCAACCCATCCCTCCTGGCAGGAATTTCCTGACCAGTCATAGTCCTTGAAATCCAGTGCAGACAGATATGCCTCACTATGAGGCAAGACATTTTCTAGGTGAGGAAATCCAGGTAGCTATGAAATAAAAGAAGCCTGTAGAAATTGCAGAGGTCCTGCACTTTTGGGTGCAGCTTCTTGAGCTGAATTTGTAAAGCTTGAATGGGATCAGCCTAAAATTTCGTCTTAGATAAAGAAGATCAAGGCATATGTCTTGTCAAGCAAAATAAACTACCTTGACCTTTCAGAAATAGCAGAGGTTTTATGAAGCACATAAGATACTTTTTAAGGTCACTTTTAGGGAATATAAATATAAATGCTAATAAGTAAATACGTAGCCCAGAGGAATTCTTATGACATTTGATACGTAAAATGATCCAGAAGGATATTATTTTTAAAATGGAATCATTCAGTAAATGAAAATATTATTTTCATTCTAAAGGTGAGGTGGGGTTTTAACCTATCAGTCATATGCTAAAAAGATTTTGTGATGTTGCTTTATACTGGTTTAAAGAAGAACACTGCATCAAAAATTTTACATTTTCAAAGATTATCTCTTGTAATAAGTTTTGAGGTCTTATTTGAGAGACATTCTGACGATGTAGAAATCAATATGTATAAGCATGTATTGTCCCAAAGAATTTTATAAAAAATAAACTTCTTTCTTGTTCATATTCAGTATTAGATGTGAGGCCCTAATGAACTGTGTTAAAAGAGGGAATAGTAAAAAGTGGCTGCCTGAGAAGAACTATTTCTAAATTTCTTTTTTTTTTATCCTACTCACCACCATACAACTGAAGATATTTCTGAGTTTCTTAAGGGTGATGACAGTTGTTGCAGATAGACTGTTAGATAACCCCCAAAGATCCCACCTCCTGGCATTCATCTTTGTGTGATTACCTCCCTTTGAGTATAGGTAACAGCATTTGTGGCTTTCTTCTAACAAATAGTATGTAGCCAAAAGTGATAGTATGTCATTTTCATACTTACGTTACATAACATTGTAACTTCCATCTTGCTAGCAGAGTGTATCCCTTGATAGCTTTAATGATGTCAGCTGCCATGTTGTGAGCTGCCCCACGGAGAGTCCCTCATAAAAAAGAACTGAAGCTTATATCCAGCTAACAGCTTGGAGGCAACTGAGGTTCCAGTCCAAAGATCAAAAGGAACTGAATCTTGTCAGAAATCCCACAAGTGAGCTTGGAAGTGAATTCTTCCCTTGTTGAGCCTCAGATGAGAACACAGCTCTCACCAACATCTTAAAGGTAGCTTAAGGCCAGGTGCGGTGGCTCAAACCTGTAATCCCAGCACTATGGGAGGCCAAGGTGGGTGTATCTCCTGAGGTTGGGAGCTCAAGACCAGCCTGACCAACATGGAGAAACCCCGTCTCCACTAAAAATACAAAATTAGCTGGGTATGGTGGCGCATGCCTGCAATCCCAGCTACTCGTGAGGCTGAGGCAGGAGAATCCCTTGAACCCGGGAGGCGGGGGTTGCGGTGAGCCGAGATCGCGCCATCACACTCCAGCCTGGGCAACAAGAGCAAAACTCTGTCTCAAAAAATAAATAAATAAATAAATAAATAAATAAATAAATAATAAAATAAGTAGCATAATGAGAAATCCTGAAGCAGAGGAATAACCTAAGCTGTGCTTGGGCTTCTGACCCTCACAATCTGTGAGATAATTAGTCATTTTGAGCTTCTATGTTTGTAATAATGCTACATAGCAACAAATAAATAATACAATAAAAAATAAGAGTAATGGCTACATTTGTCTTTCAATAGTATCCATTGTGCATCAGGAACTCTCCTAAGTGATAATACAGCTAGATACATTGACAGCTACATAGCTAGATCATAGATGCATAATAGTTGATAGGTAGATAAATAGATAGATACTTGCTAAATAGTCATAATAACTATGAATTAAGGACTACTATTGTCCCCATATAGATGAAAAATGTAAAACAGAAATTTTACTTTTTAATCTGAATTTGCATAACTGCTTATATACAAAGTCCTTACTGAGTAGCACTTTTCTATGCTGTAGTAGTTGATATCTAGCATTAAAAGAACAAGTTGAAATAATTAAAGACTATGGTAGAAGAGAATGAACAAATAAACAAATTGGAACAAAGCCAAGAATTCTGTAAATTAGGTAAAATTCTAACTATCAATTTTCCTGTACAGAATTCAATATTTCTTCATATAGGTATTAGGCTTTATTACTATAATCCTATTTCAGAATAATTTGCTTTGTATTTCAAAACTTGTGAGTATGAGAATAATGGAAATATAAATAGTAAATCAGACAGTGATTTTAAATACTGTTTATTTGGCATGATATTATCTATTGTCATTTTGTAGTTTCACCTTTATTCCAACACCTTCACTTCCCATTTCAAGTCTGTATACCTCTAGTCTAACTCATTACAATATTGTGTATAAAGAAGCAACTTTTCTCGACCAAACATGTGACATATTACTGAGAAAAAAGATGAGAGCTTGAATATAGGCCAGTCAAAAATATAAAGACTGAAACATACAGAGAAAAAAGAATAGAAAATATACAGATTATCATAAAAGACATAAAGAAATTGGAGAGAAAATTTTAAAATGGAAAAGAAGCAATATTTACAGAAATTTTAGCAGATAATTTTCCAAGCCTAGTGGATTGCATCAAACTTTAGTTTCAAGAAGCATTCTGCATCCAAGCAAGATAAATAACAGACATCACAACTACACACATCTTAATAGTACTACTAAACACCAAAAACATGGAGAAAATCCTAAAAAGACTATAGATAGACACATTACTATGAAAGGAGAAACGATAAAATCAATAGCTAATTATTCATCAAAAATGAAAAAGCCAAGACAAAATGAAATTATATTCTTATACTGCCAAAAGAAAATAACCACCAACTTAGAATTCTATATCTAGTAAATATGTCCTTCAAAAAGCAATTAAATACATATGCATACTAAAAAACTAAGATTCACTGCCAGCAGACACACATAAAAGAATAAAGGCAGCTATTCAAGGAGAAAGAAAATTATCTCAGTAGGAAATAAGAAAATGAAGAAGGGCCTGAAAAACAATGAGAAATGCATATAAATTTAAATAAATATTGACCATTAAAAACAAGAATACTAAATACTCTTGGGGTATAAAATAGAGACTTAAAAACATGAAAATATGAGCACACATATTGCAAAGGGGTAAACATGCAAAAAAAAATCACAGCAACATTGTAATAACAAAAATGCAAAATAACCCAATCTGTAACAATAAGAGAATGAATAACTAAATTATGCTACAGTCACAATATCTAAGAGAAAAATGAATAAACTATAGCTATACACATCAGTCTAATAAATAAATCCTAAAAGCATAAGGTTGGTTGAAGAAAGCTGCAGATGACTATATGCTGTGTAACATCATTTTCATAAAGATAAGAAACTGAACAATATTACTGTTTAAGTATGTTTATAAAAGTTGTATTAAAAGCAAACAGCAATGGAGAAATAAACATAAATGTGGGAAATAGTTGCCACTACGAGGAGGCAGGGGCACAGGTTAGATGAAAGAAATACAAAGATTGGAAATGCTCTAATTCTTAAGTTGCATGGTGAGTTTACAAGTATTCATTTTATAA
Organism: Homo sapiens; assembly: GCF_000001405.40. Lineage (NCBI taxonomy): Eukaryota > Metazoa > Chordata > Mammalia > Primates > Hominidae > Homo > Homo sapiens. Next base: position 146,557,164 of record NC_000023.11, on the reverse strand, counting down.
TTAGGCTTTCTAATGTGTGTAACTGTTACTTATATTCTTTGATATGTACCAATTATCTTTTAGATGGTAGAGATAAATATTTACTAAAGACAACAAGCAAATTTTGGGAAGCATTTCAAAACTCAGATTTGTAAACATGATGCTTCCCGTTTCAAATGGCAATGCTTTGAAAAAAACAACACAATTTGAATCATTAGTTGGAATTCTTTGCACAGCTTGTGTTCTCTCAAGATAAAAACAAGTGACAGTTTCAATCAAAGACAATGAATAAATATAATGAAATGAAAATGTTTATTGTTTGAAGAATCTTATTATTTTGTGGAAATTTCTAAATTTCTATGTTAAGGGTGAGTTTGTATTAAGAATGCTTTAACTCACAGCTTCTATAGTTATTTAAAAAATGGTCCAAAAAAAAGCTAGGTCCAAAAAAAAACTGAAAACATTGAACGTTACTCACTATAGGCTTTTTTTCTTTTAACGTATATAATTTTGATTCATAGACATTGGATCCTCAATATTTTTTAGAAAGAACTGGAAACACAAATTTTGAGAGTAAAAAGGAAGAGATGAAATGGCTTGAAAAGTGCATAAAAATTAAGATAAAATAAAATGAAAATTAAATAATAATAAATAAAATAAACATAAATGTCAAAATTTAAAATTAAAATAAGAAAGAAGAAAATTAAAATTAAAATAATAATACTGAAAGTTTCTACAGAAAAAGAAGTTTCATCCCTTAAGAATCTCACAGGAAGGGCCAGGTGTGGTAGCTCATACCTGTAATCCTAGTACTTTGAGAGGCCAAGGCAGGAGAATTGCTTGAGCCCAGGAATTCAACACCAGCCTGGGCAACATAGTGAGACGCTGTCTCTACAAGAAAATTAGCTGGGTATAGTGGCATCCATCTGTACTCCCAGCTATGAGCGATGCTGAGACAGGAAGATTGCTTGAGCCCAGGAACTGGAGGTTGCAGTGAACTGTGATGGCACCACTGCACTACAACCTGGACAACAGAGTGAAACTCTGTCTTAAATACAAAGAACCTTATGGGAAGTAATTAGGAATTTTTTTTTAATTTTACTTTAAGTTCTGGAATACATGTGCAGAACGTGCAGGTTTGTTGCATAGGTATACATGTGGCATGGTGGTTTGTTGCACCTGTCAACCCATCATCTAGGTTTTAAGCCCCGCATGCATTAGGTATTTGTCCTAACACTCTCCTTCCCCTTGCTCCCCACCCCCTGACAGGCCCCAGTGTATGATGTCCCCCTCCCTGTGTCCATGTGTTCTCATTATTCAATTCCCACTTATTAGTGAGAGCATACATGGATTTTTAAATAAATAAGCTTATTTTTTTTCTGATCCAAGTGTTGCACTAGTACCATGGATGTACTTGCTTTTAATGTGAACCAGCTTGTTATAAAGATACAGGCATCTATATTTCCCTGCATAAAAAATGTGATTAATCTATTTAATCTTTTGATATTAAGGGAGATTTTAAAAATTAATATCATTATACTCTTTTGAACCTGGAGAAAGGAGATTTCTTTTTGAATCTAGGTTAATAACTGTGCTAGATAACGTCAGCATTTTGGCATACAAGACCTGATATTAATCATATTCTGCTATAAATTCCAGCTCATAATGCTGACATTGCTCAGAGGAAACTATAGTGAAATACTTAGTAAATCATCTGGGAGCCAAGATGTTGGACAGGTCTTCACAAATGCAGGGCAAACCATTTTATCTCTTTTACTGGAGTCTGGCTTTGCATCTTCATCTTGTCTTTTATGAACTGTCTTCTGTTCCTGCATCATCTCAGTATTGTACTTTTGCCTCTTCGCTCTACATTCTATAAATTTATATTTAAAATTCTGGTCAGGCATCAAATGTTTTCTCTCCATGAGTTTCAGATACTTCATTTGAAATAAAATAGAGGCTAACATTTCCAAATAAGTGTGTTTATTCTTCTGGTTCTCAAAGATGCTACTGTTTTGACTAAGAGTGTGTATTAGTCTGTTTTCACGCTGCTGATAAAGACAAACCCAAGACTGGAAAGAAAAAGAGGTTTAATTGGACTTACAGTTCCACATGGCTCAGAATCATGGCGGGAAGTAAAAGGCACTTCTCACGTGGAGGCAGCAAGAGTAAATGAGGAAGAAGCAAAAGCGGAAACCCCTGATAAACCCATCAGATCTCATGAGACTTATTCACTATCACGAGAATAGCACAGGGAAGACCTGCCCCCATGATTCCATTACCTCCCCCTGGGTCCCTTCTCACAACACGTGGAATTCTGGGAGATACAATTCAAGTTGAGATTTTGATGGGGTTACAGCCAAACCATATAAAACTGTCAACATATGGATATTGAATCCCAGGTCTTTCTACAAGAATGGCAATTGGAATTTACAGGCAGGGGATGCTTTGAAATGGGAAGGTGGGCTGCAGGCAGTGGTGAAGAGGGGTTGGCATTAGCTGAAGAAGGTGGTAGAACGCCTGCAGAAGATTTTTCACTGGTATTATTCAAATGACCATTTGATGTTGACTGTACTATAATTTTCAAGAGAGATATTCTAACTTATTATTTATTTAAGGGATCAATAAAAGCTAAATGGAAAAGCTCTTTCTGAGAACATGATGTGTCATCTGTACTAGAACTATAGATGATTCCGGGTGATTGATACTAGCAGCATTCTGAAATAGATCTACTTTTCTGAAAAGTACCAACTCCAATGTCTGCCTGTTTAGCCCACTGTGTCTAGGCTAGTCTCTTTGAAGCTCTTCGAAAACATAATTTTTTAAGACATATTAAATATTCTTGGTATTCAGATTGGCTACCTGGTACATAATTTTTTCCAAGTGAGTTCTTGTTATTTTTTGAAGGCTGTCTTTCTGCATTGAAACAAGCAACTCTGGTTTCATAGTCCTTCAGTTCCAGGAAGTGAATCACCCTGTGTCTATATGGCCCCATGAGAACACCATTGGCGACCCTTGACTTTTGAGTTGTATATGCAAGACTAATGGAGGCTGTTCTTTTCCACTTGGGCATTGGATCTGGAATGGCTTGAGGTGCTTTCCACATTGGCACTCCACACATGGTTATCTAATTGTTTACTATTCACTGCAGGATTCCTCTTCTGCCTAGGCCATTCTTACTTGTATTACCTGATAAGAGCCGTTTGTTCTACACACTATCTTTTTATCTTGTATCAAGTGTACAAGTATCAGCTTTAGAAAGCTAGTTGGGTATGGTCAGCTCTGTCTTGACAGTTACTCCTATTTGACAAATGAAAGGTAAAGTTGTGTATATCAGTAGATGAATTGTTTGGGGAGATTCTGATAAGCCCTTGGAGTCCCTGGAATGAAAGAGAAGCTTGAGGAAGTAGTGCATTCTCATGGTTCTGGTAAGAGTCAATTGCCTAGATGACTGCCTGGTAAGCCCCATGGACAGCACAGTGACATTTCCTGCTCTGGCTCTATGCTGTCTGCCTGCTCCACTGCCACCTCTCCTTCCTGGTGTACCACTTCCCCTACTTCTCTGTCTCCAGAGGCTGTCAAATGGTTATATCTGTAGAGATTAAATTTGAAACAGTAAAATGTGTTAGAAAATAATGACTCTTCTTAGCAATAATTGTCTGTTATTACTATTGTTTGTAAAACTGTAACTTGAAAAGATTTTGTACCAATAGAGCAAAGAAGATGAGTATCTGGTGGAGACAATATGAAAAGGTAAAGTTGATCATTAATGATCTAATCACTTTTTAACTTTTTAAGTTTCTCTTCAAGAGGAACTGTTAACCCAAACTGGAAAGTACTAAATTACTCTTTGATCTCAGTGAATAAACGTCATTTCCCAATAAATTCAACATCAAGTAAAGGTACCTGGTGGGGGGATCAACAGGATCCACAAGCTTTCAGAAAGTGGAGGAGAAGGGTTCTACCTGATATGATTAATATCACGCCCTCCTTACATTTACTCTGACATCCAAGTGGGTTGTTGAATCATTTTGCAGGATAGAGCCTTGCCTATCCACAGAGGCTCTCATCTCATAGCTAAATACAGTATTTGGATTAATAATAGATAAAAACAAACATTTCAGAGATGTCTATTTCTCAACTTTCTAACCATCACCAATAAGTGGAAGCAGTCGTCACCTCCTTAGCTTGCCACTGATGTCCATGATTCTGCTTCTTTGCACAATCCCTCCAGAGGAGCCTCAGCAAATCACAAGCTTATCCAGGTCCTTAAGGGTAACCTTATTCATGCTGAAAGAAATCTTACAGTAAGCATGTTAAACGTGTACAAGTTAGGTATAAAATGTACACAGATAACTTGGAATCATTTCCAATCAGTTTCACTTCTAAAATATTAAGGCACAATTATCCTTCTTTGCCCGCCTTCACATTCCCTTTTCATATTCTTTTCAGATTTCCCTACCTTAAATTAACTGATGGTATCATCTTCCACCTAGACACACGACTAGAAAGCCTGGTGATATGGTTTGGATTTGTGTCCTCACCCAAATTTCATGTCAAGTTGTAATCCCCAGTGTTGGAGGAAGGGGCTGCTGAGAGGTGACTGGTTCATGGGGGCAGATTTTCCCCTTGCTGTTCTCATGATAGTGAGTGAGTTATCACGACATGTTTGTTTAAAAGTGTCTAGCACCTCCCCCTTTGATCTCTTCCTCCTTCTCTAGCCGTGTAAGACATGACTGCTTCCTTGCCTTCTGCCATTATTGTATGTTTCCTGAGGCATCCCCAGCTGTGTTTCCTGTGCAGCCTGTGGAACTGTGAGTCAATTAAACGGCTATTCTTTATAAATTACCCAGTCACAGGTAGTTGTTCATAGCAATACAAGAATGGACTAATACAGAAGATTGGTACCAGGAAGTGGGGCATTGCTATAAAGATACCTGAAAGTGTGGAAACAACTGATACGGTTTGGCTCTGTGCCTCCATCAAAATACCATGTTGAATTGTAATCCCCTGTGTTGTGGTGGTGGGGGGGATCCGGTGGGAGGTGATTGAATCATGGAAGCAGATTTCTCCCTTGCTGTTCTCATGGTGAGTGAGAGTTCTCATGAGGTCTGGTTGTTTGAAAGTGTGTAGCACTTCCCCCTTTACTCTCTCTTCCTCCTGCTCCAGTGGTGTAGGACATGTCAACCTCCCCATGCCTTCCACCATGATTGTTAAGTTTCCTGAGGCCTCTGCCAATCATGCTTTTTGTACAGCCTGCAGAACCCTGAGCCAATTAAACCTCTTTCCTTTATAAATTACCCAGTCTCGGGTAGTTTTTTATAGCAGTGTGAGAATAGACTAATACAGTGACTTTGTAACTGGGTAACAGGCAGAAGTTAGAACAGTTTGGAGGGCTCAAAAGAAGACAGAAAGATGAGGGAATGTTTGGAGCTTCCTAGACGCTTGTCAAATTGTTGTGATCAAAATGCTGATAGCAATATGGACAATGAACACCAGGCTGAGATGGACTCAGATGGAGATGAAGAACTTATTGACAACTGGAGCAAAGGTCACTTTTGTTATGTGTTAGCAAAGAGATTGGAGGCATTGTGACCCTGCCCTAGAGATATGTGGAACATGAAACTTGAGAGTGATGATTTAGGGTATCTGGGAGAATAAATTTCTAAGCAGCAAAAAGTTCCAAGATATGGCATGGCTGCTACAGCAGCCTCAGCTTATATTCATGAGCAAAGAAGTGACATGGACCAATAACTTACATTGAAAAAAGAAGGAGAGTGTAAAAGTTTGGAAAATTTGCAGCCTACACATGTAGTAGAAAAGAAAAAAACAATTTTCTGGGGAGGAGTTCAAGCTGGCTACAGAAATTTGCGTAAGTGAAGAGGAGCCAAATGTTAATAGCCAAGACAATGAGGAAAATGCCTCAAAGGAATTTCAGAGACCTTCACTGGCAGCCCCTCTCATCATAGGCCTGGAGGCATAGGAGGGAAGAATAGTTTTGCAGGCTGGGCCCAGAGCCCTGCTGCCACATGTAACCTCAGGTCACTGCTCCCCGCATCCTAGTCATTCCATCTCCAGCCATGGCTAAATGGGTCCCAGATGTGTCTCAGGCCACTGCTCCAGAGGGTGCAAGCCATAAGCCTTGGAGGCTTCCAAGTGGTGTTAAGCCTGCAAGTGCTCAGAGGAAAAGAATTGAAGCTTGGGAGCTTCTGCCTAGATTTCAGAGGATGTATGGAACCAACTGGATGTCCAGGCAGAAGTCTGCTGCAGGGGCAAAGTCCTCATGGAGAACCTCTAGTGGGGCAGTGCAGATGGGAAATATGGGATTGGAACCCCCACACAGAGTTCCCACTCAGGTACTGCCTAGTGGAGCTGCGAGAAGAGGGCCACCATCCTCCAGACCACAGAATATTAGATCCACCAACAGTCTTCACTGGGCTCCTAGAAAAGCCACAGGTACTCAACGCCAGCCCATGAAAGCAGCCAAGGAGGCTATACCCTGCAAAGCCACAGGGCAGAGCTACCCAAGTCTTTGGGAGACCCCCTCTTGCATCGTGTGGCCTGGATGTGAGACATGGAATCAAAGGAGAGTATTTTGAAGCATTAAAATTTAATGATTGCCCTGGTGTTTCTTGGACTAGTATGGGGCCTGTAGCCTTTTTCTTTTGGCCAATTTCTCCATTTTGGAATGGGAATGTTTATCAAATATCCATACCTCTTTGTTTTGGCTATTTTCTCATGCTTGGAATGGGTGTATTTACCCAATGCCTATACCTCCATTGTATCTTAGAATTAACTAACTTGCTTTTGATTTACAGGCTCATAGGCAGAAACAACTTGCCCTGTTTCAGATGAGACTTTGGTCTATGGAATTCTGAGTCAATGCTGAAATGAGTTAAGACTTGAAGGACTATTGACAAAGGAGGATTGTATTTTGTAATGTGAGAAGGACATGAGTTTTGGGAGGGGCTAAGGACGGAATTGTATAGTTTGGATTTGTGTTCCTGCCCAAGTCTTATGTCGAATTGTAATCCCCAGTGTTAAGAGAGGGGCCTGAAGGGAGGTGATTGGATCATGGGGATGGATTTCCCCCTTGCTATTCTCATGATAGTGAGTAAGTTCTCAGGAGATCTGATTGTTTAAAAGTGTGTAGGACCTTCCCCTTCACTCTCTTCCTCCTTTTCTGGTCAGGTAAGATATGCCTGCTTCCCCTTCCCCATCTGCCGTGATTGTAAGTTTCCTGTGGCCTCCCCAGCCATGTACAGCCTATGAAACTATGAGTCAATTAAACCCTTTTTGTTTATAAATTACCCAGTCTCAGGTAGTTCTTTATAGCAATGCAGGAACAAACTAATACACCTGATCATCCTTATGCCCTGAAACATGCTTCTCATTAATTTTCCTTGAAAGCATCTAGTCAGCCACCAAATTTTCTACTCATCCAATAAATAGTTAATGGGCACCTATTACATTCTTGTGTTCTTGATGCTTAGGTAAGCTGCAATGAACAAAACAGAAACAAACAAATATAAATCTCTGCTTTCATCATTACTAGATTCCTGTCAAGTTTCTGAAATGCCCAACATCACTAATCTTTAGAGAAATGCACATCAAAACCACAGTAAGATATCATCTCACACTGGTCAGAATAGCTATTACTAAGAAGTCAAAAAAATAACAGATGCTGCCAAGGTTGTAGAGAAAAGGGAATACTTATACACTGCCGGGGGGAGTATAAATTAGTTCAGCCATTGTGGAAAGCAGTATGGCTACTTCTCAAATAACTTAAAGCAGTATTACCATTTGACCCAGCAATCCCATTATTGGGTTGGATACAAAGGAATATAAATTGTTTTACCATAAATACACATGCACGTGTATGTTCACTGCAGTATGATTCACCATAGCAAAGACATGGAATCAACATGAAAGCCTATCAATGGTAGACTGCATAAAGAAAAGAAAATGTGGTACATATACGCCGTGGAATACTATGCAGCCATAACAAACAACAAGATCATGTCCTTTACGGTAACATGGATGGATCTGGAGGCCATTATCCTAAGCAAGCTAATGCAGGAACAGAAAACCAAATACCACTTTTTCTCATTTGTAAGTAGGAGCTAAACAACAAGAACACAAGGACAAAAAAGGGGAACCTAACTGAGGGTGGAAAGTGGGCCTAACTGAGGGTGGAAAGTGGGAGGAGGGTGAATATCAGAAAAAAATACCTATCTGGTACTATGCCTATTACCTGGGTGACAAAATAACCTGTACACCAAACCCCCATGACCCACAGTTTACCAATATAATATAACAAAGCTGCACATGTACCCCTGAACCTAAAATAAAAGTTAAAGAAAAGTTTCTGCATAACATCTAGAATTCACCCTGTCCTCTCCCATGTCATGGCCATTGTCCTAAAATAGGCTGAAAATATCGTAGCCTATGCTGTCTGCTCTCCTCCTAACTTGATTACTTGCCTTCAGTTTTTTACTTTGATAAATCATCTTCTAAATTGCCAACGATGATTCCAGTCAAGTTTGCTTTAAACCAAGTGATGATCCCAATTATTTAAAAAATAAAATAAAAATTCTTTGGTGTGGCGTATAAGACTCTTCTTATTTAGTCCCTAACTTATCATAAAGCCTGTGCCGTATACCTAAAAGCTACATTGATTTATTTGCTTTTCTCTGAATATGCCCCCAAGTGTTTTCCTGTTTCAGTCTTTCACTTGATATTTCTTCTGATCCCCAATATTCTTGCTCCTTATCTTTGCTTGCATTGCTGCTTCATTTATGAGATTATCATTCTGTTTAAAACAGTGCTGTAGACACCCACTCCAGGACTCTCATTTCATTATCCTGTTTTACTTTTCTTCAGACCATATATTACTACCTGAAATTATATTACATATATTGATTTGTTTAATTTAAATCACCTCCACTAGAATATGAGCTTAATAAGAATTTGGATTCTGTCAGTCTTTGTACTGTTTTATCTCCAGTGGCTTGAACAGTAGTTCCTGGCATACATAGTAACCACTCAAGTACATATTTGTTGAGCAAATGAATATATCAATGGTGTCTACTGTTAAATCCCATGTGCAATGGATTCAGCCTGCTAAATTTCTACTCAATATTAGAATGCTAGCTCAAATATCACTGTATATATAAGACATACCTCTAGTCAAAATTAATATTTCCCTTCATTATAATCCCAGAACATTTTATACAACCTGTATCATCACTCCACTGCAGTCTAGTGGAGGAAACAAACACGTTTGTCTCTACCATAACAACTACATTCTGTTCAAATTTGTCTGATCCCTCCTTTTAGTCCCTAGTATCTCCCTCTAGAAGTAGCAAATACATAGCAGAAGGAACTCTCTGAATGTTTGTCATAAGAATGAATAATCATAATAAGCTCATAGGCTCCAACCATACTGACCTTTATTTGATCTCTAAAATGTGTTTCTCATTTTTGCCTTAAAGACTTCGTATATGCAAGTCCCACTCTGACAATATTCTCCTTTCGCAATCTGCTTCTTATGCCTCCATGCAAATTTTTCTTCCTATCAACCCTCTAGTCATCTTACTAGTGTCAGCTTAACTACCTTAACAAACCCTCTATTAATCAGGGACACAGCAAATTAGGATAAAAAAGGGCTTAACTGTGAGACTATTTACAAAGATGTGGGCACATTTTAGAGAAACTACAAGAGACACTGAAGTATTTTAGGGCTAGTAACACCCCTAGGCCAGGAGATAAGAAGGAGGGAGAGAATCCTGTAGAAAGTGTGGGATGGACATATGTAGCGGCTGATGGTCAAGGAACAAAAACAGCCTAAGGCAGCCATGCAGGGGGAAAAAAACGGAGGGAATAAATATATCTTTATTTTTTCCTTTCTTTAATCTGTTAGAGTTCCTCCATTGGCCAAACCCTTCCGAAAGTCATAAAAGAATGAATAATTAATATGCCTTATTCCCATAACAGAGAGATCTTCACTGATAACCCAGAATAAGTCAATTTTCCCATTAAACACTCTTATAGTAATCTGTACTTATTATTATTTATTTGGAGAACTAAAGCTGTAACTGCTTCCTTTAGTTAGAATCCCCTTCCTTGGATATTAAATTTTTTAAGTGAAGATATTATGACTTATACATGTTTTATAATAAACTTGCCAATGTTGTAGTTCACAAGTACAAATTTCTGAAAATATTCACATTACTTTTGGTGTACATATCCCATTAGTCAACGAGTCTTCCACAGCAATACAGAGCATACTAACAATGTTAATGACTTGGACGAGCAGTATTTCCACTAATATTTGAAAACACAGATTTGCATGTATTATGCTCATGCTTCTGGTCCATGTTTGCGTGTATCTATATGCATTGATTACAATGAACCCAGTTCTTCAAGTGAGTTCATAATGCTTTTAGTTATTTTATTCAGAGTTTTACAGCCTTATGAAATAATTTCTTCCACATACTCAGATTTATTTTCTCAAATTGTTTACAATAATCTATAGCAATACTTCAATCTGTTTCCCTGAGAATACAATAAAATAAAATGTAAATCCAGAAAGGTGGTTGAAAATGCCCTCATTTTAAATCATCATATACAGTGTGATTAATTTAGTATTTGTCTTTTATAAAAATTATTTCAAGGAAAATTCTGTATCCACCTTTCTTCCTTCCTGAAATCCCCTTTTACTTAATGTGGTGGTCCTTGCTACTTCCAAAGCAGTGTTGTAATTTATTTTCTGCCTGACTCAACAGATAATAAGAAAAGTTGTTTAATCTCAATATCCCTGGAAACCTGAGATAGTAACCATTCTCCCGTCGTCTGATTGATATCCTCAACAATGGTGGTCATTTAACTTTTGTGTGGTTTTTTTTTAATAGTTTTGTTTTCTACTTAGAACAAAGAATGCTAAATATAAATAAACTTCAAAGCACTGATTAGTGTTCTAAAAATGTGTCCCTGCTAAGTAAAATGTCATTAAAACTGAAATGTTCACAATCAGGCCATAATGGTACATGTATTAACGGGCTCGCCTGCTCATTATCAGATGGCCCAGAATAAGAACATTTTAGTCAACTGCTGGCACTCAGTGGGCTGTCCAGTAAAGCCCAGCATACCTGGGGCCAATTAGGGTATTTAGTGGATCAATGTAGTAACAATGTATTCTATCATTGTTTCTAGCAGCCAAGATTGCACGTGGGAAAAGGACAAGATTCTAAACAGTGACTCAATTTGGTGAGCATAAATTATATTTAACCTGTTTTGGCCTTTTGGTTTACAGGACTTTAATATCATCATATTTTTCTATACTGTAGTTCCTTTTTAAAGTTTTCATCCATTTTTTAAAAAGTAGCTTTTAATAAATGTTTTCATGCTCTCTCTTATTATTGAGGCTTTTGATTTGAGATTACATCTTTACCAGGCTAGCAGCCAATTAAAAAGGAAAAATTTATCCAAATAATTTTGGAGGGTAGCCATATGTTTTAAATTAATGTTGAGCTGATGTTTTCATCCATTGAACTAATACTTTATGTTGGTGGTGTTTTAGACACAGTTAGCTAGATTCAATGTATATGAATGCTATATGAGCACCCTCAAAGGATGAAGATCTCTATGACTTTATCATAAGCTGGAAAACAAAAGTCTGATAAGGATTACCAAAAAACTACAATTATAGAGTATTATTCTTTGGTTCCTAATTTGATTAACTCTGTAGGCAAATATTATAGTGCAAGTTTTTTCTCCTTTTCTCACTGTCACAAAGATAGAGGTTAAAAGAATTTCAGTTCATTTCGCCCAACCTCTTTTTTTTTTTACAGCAACCAAAAAGTGAGGCACAGAAAAGAGAAGTACACTAAGGTATAGTATTTCAATTCTCAGGTCATCCTATTCCTGTCCAAGTGTTCTTTCCACTGTACCAATGTCCATGTTTAGGATATGGATTACATTATATAACCTAGTAGATAAAGAGTAAAGAGACAGTCATAGAAGTAGGATGAGAAGCTTAGAGTTATATTTGGATCAGAGTGTTCAGTATAGAAGGAAGTCTATACAATTTCAGTTGATCATTCCACCTCTTCAACCTGCATCTCAAGCCCACATTGCCCTAAATGAAATATTCATCTTGATATGCACTAGCCTGTTTGCATAGATCCATGAGTAATGAATCTTATTAATACTGACTCCCCTACGAGTGCTACTTGTGGGGACATCAAAAAGAATCACAAATCATAAGATCAATCAAACTCTTATGTCATATCCAATTCTGTCAGTATCAGAAGGACATGGCCATAATTACCCAGAGATGAACTGGATTTATGGAAAATTGTGCCTCAATATGTCTCTAAAGAATGTAATTTTTTTCCAACTCAGTTCTTTAATAAAATTCTCTTTTGGGGAAATCTCAAACATAATTCCACTACTAGCAATTTCCATAAACTAAACAAATTAAAAGTAAATTGCTTAGAAATCACTGGAAAGATTAAGGATAGAACAGTGACAAGAATGAATTAATCAATTTTGACTTCCCTAATTTATGACTGGATAAAATGACAGTTGTTAGAAGCCTCCGGTTTCAAACTGAACAAGATATCATAAGATAAATTTGAAGTAACATCCATGGAAAAGCTCATTGACGCTAAGCCTCATATAAAATGTGAAATTCAATATTTTATAAATGAAAGGAATAGAAATATATTCATATGTACATGTCATTATTGACTTCTATTATTATTCCCACTTCATTTCCAGAGTTACTATTTATGTGATAGGAAGGCAGCATGCTATAGCAAAAAGAGCCCAAATATTCAATTCTGACAGACCTGGCTTTGAATCTTAACTCCTGATATAGCTTGGATATTTGTCTCTGCCAAAATCTCATGTTGAATTGTATTCCCCAGTTTTGGAGGTGGGGCCTAGTAGAAGGTATTTGGCTCCTGAGAGCTTATCCCTCATGGCTTGGTGCTGTCCTCCCAATAGCAAGTGTGTCCTTGTGAGATCTGGTTGTTTAAGAGTGTGTAGCACCTCCCCTCACCTTGCTCTCATTCTGGCCATGTGATGTGCTGCTTCCCCCTTCATGTTCTCCCATGATTGACAGCTTCCTGAGGCCTCCCCAGAAGCCAGGAGGATGCTGGCATCATGATTCCTATACAGTCTGCAGAACCATGAGCCAATCAAATGTCTTTTTTTTTATATATATATAAATTACCCAGCCTCAGGTATTTCTTTATAACAATGCAAGAATGGCCTAATACGTAAAATTAGTACCTAGGAGTGGAGCACTGTTATAAAGATTCCTGAGAATGTGGAAACCACTTTGGAATTGGGTAACAGGCAGAGGTTGGAAGAGTGTGGAGGGCACAGAATAAGATAGGAAGATGAGGAAAAGTTTGGAACTTCCTAGAAACTAGTTGAATGGTTGTAACCAAAATGCTGATAGTGACATGGACAGTGAAATCTAGGCTGAAGAGGTCTTAGATGCAAATGAGGAGTTTATTTTGAACTGGAGCAAAGAGTAAGTGTGTTGCATCTTAGCAAAGAGATTTGCTGCATTGTGCCCCTGCCCTGGGGATCTGTGGAAGTTTGAACTTCAGAATGCTGATTTAGGGTATCTGACAGAATACATTTCTAAGCAGCAAAGCATTCAAGATTTGACCTCGCTGCTTCTAACAAACAACCTATGCTCAGATGCAGGACCAAATAAATGACTCGAAGTTGGAATTTACATTTAAAAGGAAAGGAGAGGATAAGTCTGGAAAATTTGCAGCCTACCTATGTGGCAAAGAAATGAAAAGCTTTTTCTGGAGAGGAATTCAAGCAGGCTGTGGAACAACTACTTGCTAGACATATTTGCATAACTAACAAAGAGCCAAGTGCTAATATCCAAGACAATGGGAAAAAGGCATTGAAGGCATTTCAAAGACTTTTGTGGCAGCCCTTCCCATCATAAGCCCAGAGGCCTAGGAGTTAAGAATGGTTTTATTGGTGAGGGCCCACTGACCCCCTGCACAGCCTCAGGACAGGGCTCCTCACATTCTGACCATCCCAGCTCCAGCCATGGCTCAAAGAAGCCCAATCAAGAGTTCAGGCTGCCATTTTGTAGAACACAAGCCATAAGCCTTCACAGCAACCACATGGTGTTAAGCCTGCAGGGTTACAGAGTGCAAGAATGAAGGGAGGCTTGGCAGCCTTTGCCTAGATTTCTCATACATCTCATACAGAGGATGTATGAGAAAACCTGAGTGCCTAGGCAGAAGCCTGCTGCAGGGGCAGGGCCCTCACAGAGGACCTCTACCAGAGTAGTGGCAAGGGGAAATGTGGGGTTAGAGCCCCCACACTGAGTCCCCAGTGGGGAACTGCCTAGTGGAGCTGTGAGAAGAAGGCCACCATTCTCCAGACCCCAGAAATGTAGATCCACTGGCAGCTTGCATGCTTCACCTGGAAAAGCTGTAGGCACTCAACCACAACCAATAAGAGCAGCCAAGGGGGGCTGAGCCCTGAAAAGCCACAGAGGCAGAGCTGCCCAAGGGCTTGGAAGCCCACTCTTCACAGCACTGTGCCCCAGATGTTGGACAGAGTCAAAGGAGATTATTTTGGAGTTGTGAGGTTTAATGACCGTCCTGCTTGGTTTCAAACTTGCATGGGCCCTGTAGCCTTTTTTTTTTTTTTTTTTTGACCAATTTCTCCCTTTTGGAATGAGAATGTTTATCCAATGCCTGTACCTCCATTTTATCTTGAAAGTAAATACCTTGTTTTTATTTTTCAGGCTTATACGTGGAAGGGACTTGCCTCATTTCAGATGAGACTTTGGACTTTGGATTTTTCACTTAATGCTGGGATGAATTAAGATATTGAGGGACTATTAGGAAGGCATGATTGTATTTTGCAATATGAGAAGGACATGAGATTTTTGGGGGACCAGAGGTGGAATAATATAGTTTGGATATTTGTCCCTACCCAAATCTCATGTTGGATTGTAACCTCTAGTGTTGGAGGTGGGACCTTGTAGGAGGTGTTTTGGTCATGAGAGTGCATCCCTCATAGCTTGGTTCTGTCATCATGATAGAGAGTGAGTTTTCATGAGATCTGATTCTTCAAGAATATGTGGTACCTCCCCACTCCCCCTGCTCCCATTCTGGTCATGTAACCTGCTGGCTTCCCCTTCACCTTCTCTCACGATTTAAAAGCTTCCTGAGGCCTCCTCAGATGCCAGGATGATGCCAGCAACATGCTTTCTGTTTAGTCTACAGAACCATGAGTCAATTAAACCTCTTTTCTTTATAAATTACCCAGTCTCAGCTATTTCTTTATAGCAATGGAGGAAAGAACTAATACAATCACATATTATAAAATTAATTAACTTCCCTTAAGCAAAAATTCCTCATGTGTAAGATAGGAATATTAACCTTACCTCACAGATAGCATCTGTACATTCAGTTGTTCAATACACAGAACACTGAAACTTAATTATGTTTACAGGCCAGCATAAAGCAACTCTAGCCTCAGCTCAGTAACTAAAATTTTAAAAAAGATATTGGAAATGTCATACATGTAACATACAGATCATATATTTTTAGTACTGTGGTATTTATATATAGTTGCCAAAGAGTATTTTATTACTTTATAAAAGAGATCCTCTGCCTTTCGGGAGTCTATGGACAATGATTTATCAGCAGCAACCATTCTCAAAGTGTGGGAGTCTTCAACATCCTTTCAGGGGGTCCAGGAGGTCAAAACTATGTTCCAGATAATAATAAAGCACTATTTGTCCTCTCTGTTGTGCGAAGCAATGGTGGTGTAAAGTTAATGTTGGACAAACTGCTGAGTCTAAGCATGAATCAAAGCAGTTACACACACAAAAAAATCAGTTTCACTTACGAATATTCTTGAAGAAGAAAAGAAATTATTAATCTAATTAATCTTGACCATGAGGATCTAACTTTTTAATATTCTGTGTAACACGTGAAGAGTACTCATAAAACACTTCTATTGCATATGGAAGTAGGATAGTTAATACTTACCTGGCAGGAGAAGCAGGATGCTTATATTAGGAAAAAGCACTTGTGTGATTGTTTTAGTTGCAACCTGAATTAGCCATTTTTGTCATGGCACAGAAAATTCACGTGATAATAACAACTGTCAAGCAAACTATATCTTTGTCAGATTTGGTTGTTTGGCAAATAGTTTCTGGAAGGTGACCAAAACGGGCCTATAACTTCAAGGACAATAATGACCAATGATAAAATTCAAGGTCTTTAGCAAAAAGCAGTATTTTGAAAAACTTGTATCCACCACAGTAAGCTTGAAAGCTTTCCAAAACTTAAACTCTCTTCTGATATTAGTAATATTAAATAATTATGCAGGGATTATCAAGGTATTTGCCCAATGGAAGCAAAAACATAGATCCATAGAATGTAAATAGAAGCTTTATTGATAATCACCAAAAACTGCCAACAACTCAAATGTTCATCAACTGGCAATGGTCTAAATAAATTTTGACACATCAATACAATGGAATCCTCGTCAATGAAAAGAAACTTGTAGTAGGCATAAAAAAATGCTTCCTAAACATGACCATGTTTGAATTCCGAGAATGTGTGAGTGTATTACTTGCCATCATAATGGGAACTTGGACATGGGAATAAAGTTATGGACCATGAGATTGGGAAGTTATCCAGGATTGTTCAGGTGGACCAATCTAACCTTATAAATTAGTAAAGGTAGAGAGTGTTTCCTGGTTATAATCAGAGAGAACAATATAATCTAAGAATGTTCAGAAAGATATGATGTTGCTGGCATTGAAGATAGATGAACAGGGCAACAATTCAAAGAATGGAGGTAGTTTCTAGAAGCTGGAAAAGTCATGGAAACAGATTCTCCCCTGGAGCATCTAGAAAGAAGCATAACCTTGGTGACAGCTAGCCCAGTAAGACCTGTGTCACTTTCCCTACAGATCTTTAAGATAATAAATGCATGTGTTATACAACAATATAGATGGATATTAAATGTATTATGGTGACAAAAACCAGTGTGTGATTCCATTTACATGACATCCTGAAAAAGAAAAATTATAAAGATTGGCCATTTGTATATCTTCTTTGGAAAATGTCTATTCAAATCATTTGCCCATATAATAATTAGATTTTATCACTGAGTTATAGAATTCTTTATACAGTCTGTATTCAAGTCCCATATCAGACATAAGATTTAGAAAAATTTTCTCCTATTCTTTAGGTGGAGCTTTTTAAGGTACTGTGGTGACTAAGTTATTTCTTAATACAAATAATGTACCATATCAATCAATTTTTAAAATAAATTCTTAAAATAATTTAAATATATTGGATTTTCTAATTGTTAAACAATATATTCATGTGGTAGACAAAGATAAAAGACAAGTATTAGAAATAAAATCTCTGAGAATATTCCAATTTCTACAATAAGAAATTTTGAAATAGTAATATAAATTAATGTTGTTTCTTAGAAGATATTCGTTACTTTTTTTTTTTTTTTTTGAGACGGAGTCTTTCTCTGTCACCCAGGCCGGAGTGCAGTGGCACCATCTGAGCTCACTGCAAGCTCCGCCTCCCAGGTTCACACCATCCTCCTGCCTCAGCCTCCCGAGTAGCTGGGACTACAGGCTCCTGCCACCACGCCCGGCTAATTTTTTGTATTTTTAGTAGAGACGGGGTTTCACCGTGTTAGCCAGGATGGTCTGGATCTCCTGACCTCGTGATCCGCCCGCCTCGGCCTCCCAAAGTGCTGGCATTACAGGCGTGAGCCACCGCGCCCGGCCGATATTCGTTACTTTTAATCTCAAATTTATTTTTTAATATTTGACATAATTTAATGCCTAAAAATACTCTGGATAAATTATTTGATATTATTCATAGAGTATTATTCTCTAGAGAGACTACTTTCACACAGCAGTTGTCAATTAGCACTGAAAAGATCACTTGATAATTTTAATCACAATTGACTAATTACCAAATTAACAATTTATCTGGTAACGTGGTTGGCAGGACTAATAAAGGAAATAATCTGATACTTGCTTACTGTGAAATTTTACCTCTTAGTAATACTAATTCAATATTTTCATGTATATTCTACTCATTTGTATTACATGCTTCTGTGTGTGTCATTTAGCAAAAATATGTATACAATGTCAAGCTTTTTTTCCTTTTTATTATTTTCTTCCATACCATTTATTACTTTCTCCCTTCCTTTCTTTTTTAATTTTTTTTTTTTTTTTTTTTTTTTTGAGACAGGGTCTCACTCTGTCACCCAGGCTGGAATGCCATGGCACAATCTTGGCTCACTGCAGCCTCAACCTCTCTGGGCTCAGGTAATCCTCCCACCTCAGCCTCCCGAGTAGCCAAAACTGCAAGCACGTGCCACCATGCCTGACTAATATTTGTGTTTCTTGCAGAGCCTTCTTTCTTTTAAAGGGCAATTCAATGGTTTGGGTGTTGGTTGGTACAATATAACGGGAAAATACAAAATGCCACTTAACATCAATGGTGGCATTTATCTCACTATGGTTATAGCTAAGTACCTTATTAATGTATTATTCACTTTTCTTTAGAACATAAATCAAAGACATTAACTTGAACTTGATTTATATACACTACCTTATGCAAAATACTTTTCACAAGTTACATGGTTTTAGGAGATTGGAAATTGAATAGCTAAGTTGATTTACATTTTGTCTTGATGTAACAAGAAGAGGAAAAAACCTTCAGTTAAGAAGGATTAAGATGTTTATAAGAAAGGTTATACTGATAATAAATCTTTTAAAGTTAAAATTATCTTCCCCTCCCTTTGTATTTAGCATGGGTGACGTAATGTCCTGAGAGGATTCGTTTTGAAAAAACAATGTCAAGCACAGCTTTAAGACCTTACTTTGGAATGAACTAACGAGAAGACGAACAGGAAAGTGAAACTTTACCTTGTTTTCAAATAAATGAACTTAATTTTTCTTTACACATAAAACACTTTAAATCAGTTTATTAGAAATATATATAAACCATTAATGTTTGCTGCTTTCAGGTAAAGTCCAGCATTTCTTTACATACAGGCAATGAGAAGGAATCTGTAGAAATAAGCTAATCTTAAATTGTAACATTATACATTTAAGTTAGCCTAATCCCTCTCAGTAACAACACAATATTCCTGTTTATGCTTGGTCATCTCTAACAGATGTTAGTTTGAAAACTTGAGAGATTTCAGGTACAGTCAGGCATGTATTATTTAGCACCTTGTTTATTAGCAAAAATCAGCATTCCAACTTTCCTTGGGTGCACAAGTGCTAACTTTTTATAAAGTTCTTCTCTAGTTACAGAAATCCTTTCTCTCTCGGTCTGTACCGTCCATGACAACTATTACAAATCCAGTTAGCATAGTAAGTGTCCAGGAAAAATGAAGATGTTCTTGGACACCAGTATCTCACATTAGGAAATATGTATTACTAAACCACTGTCTCTTCAACATTACTTCCTATTGTGGGAAATGGATGTGAATCTTCATTCATAAAAAGCTGGTAAAGACTGGTAGATTATCTTGAATTATCCAGCCCAAAAATGATAACTTTGTGTTGAGAGTAACTGAACAGTCTCCATATTCTGAAGTGGAATTCCCATTCTTGGACAGTAGAATCCCTTCCAGCCATTTGGGCTGCATGGCATCTCACAACTCTGGTTGAGGGGGAGCACATAAACACTCCAGAGCTTATACTTAAGCTGCTGTTGCTTCCACACTTGCTGCCAGTCAACTTCTTGCAACCTAAGGGGAGATTGAAGCCCAGGCTACCCCATCCCGAGGGCCCCTCCACTGCCAAGGAGCCATTTGCCTAATTTTCGAACACTGGCATTGTGTGTTTGCCACAAGCCTCATGGACCACTGTCCTCTTTCAGCTTTTCTCTGGGAAGGAAGGCTGCCTGTGCATTTTGTTTGTTTATTTTTTTACTTTCCTGGATAGTGTCCTTTGAAGCACAAAGGTTTTAAATGTTGATAAACTTTAGTTATTTTCTCTTTATTTGTTTGCATTTTGAGGGTCATGTCTAAAAATCCTTTGGCTAATACAAGGTCACAGGTACTTACTTCTATGTTTTCTTCTAAGAATTTTATTATTTTAGTGTTTACATTTTGATTCCTGATCTATTTTGAGTCAATTTTTGTACAAGGTATGTTTGTAGGGTCCCGACTGCATTCTTTGCATATGGATATCCACCTGTCCCAACATCATTTGTTGAAGAAAGTATTATTTCCCCATTAAATTGTCTATGCTCCCTTGTTGAAAATCAGTTAACCATAGGCATGTGGGTATATTTCTACCATCTCAACTGTATCTCACTGATCTGCACGTGTTTCCTTATGCCAGTACCTCACTGTTTTGATTACTGTACATAAGGCTTTGTGATAGGTTTTAAATCAGTAAGTAGTTCTCCAACTTTGATTTTCATTTTCAAATTTATTTTGGCTATTTGGGGTTCATTTACATACCACATAAATTAAGGATCAACTTGTCATTTTCTGAAAAATAAGCAGTTGGGATTAAATAAAGATTAATTTGTATCTGTAGATCAATATGAGGTGTACTGTCATTTTATCAATATTGTCTTCTATTCCATGAATCCAGGAAAACAGTACATTTTTCCACTTCTTTAGGTCTTTCTTAATTTCCAAAAACATTTTGTAGTTATCAGAGTCTAAGATTTGCTCTCCTTTTATTAAAATAGTCCTAAATATTGTATGCTTTGTGATGCAATTATACATGTAATTGTTTCCCTAATTTCATTTTTAAGTTGTTCATTAGGCCAGGCATGGTGGCTCATGCCTGTAATCCTAGCACTTTGGGAGGCCCAGGAGGGCGGATCACCTGAGGTCAGGAGTTCGAGACCAGTCAAGCCAATATGGCGAGACCTAGTCTCTACTAAAAATACAAACAAAAAATTTACTAACCTTTTTTTTTTTTTTGAGATGGAGTCTCACTCTGTCACCCAGGCTAGAGTACAATGGCGTGACCTCGGCTAACCACAACCTCCACCTCCCAGGTTCAAGCCATTCTCCTGCCCCAGCCTCCCGAGTAGCTGGGATTACAGGCATGTGCTACCATGCCCAGCGAATTTTGCATTTTTAATACAGACGGGGGTTTCTCCGTGTTGGTCAGACTGGTCTTGAACTTTTGACCTCAGGTGATCTGCCCGCCTCAGCCTCCCAAGGATTAGCATATTTCTATCTTAAAGAATATTTGATGTGTACTCCAGAAGAATGTGTACATTACGCTGTTTTGGGGTGCAGTGTCCTAAGGTCTGTCAGCTTCAGTTGTTCTGTAGTAGTGTTCACATCTTCTATTTCCTTGTTGATTTCTTCCTAGTTGTCCTATTAAGTGGAATATTGAAATCTTCAATTATTTTGGAAAATTTTCAGCCGTTATTTTTATAATTTTTTTTCTTCTGTATCTCTTCCCTCTTCTTCTGGTGCTCACACTATGTGTATTTTGGTGTGCTTAATGGTGTTACACATTTCTGTGATGCTATATTTAGTTTTCATTCTTTTTTCACTCAGTTCTTAAGACTGCATAATATCAACTGATCTGTCTTCGTGTTCACTGATTCTTCTGCCAGGGTAAATATACATTATAAAATTATTATTTCAGTTAGTATTCTTGTCACCTCTAGAATATCTATTTGGTTATTTTTTCTTGTAATTTCTATTTCTTTAGTGATACTCTGCATTTGATGAGACATTGTCATTATAGCTTTCTTCACATCTTTCGGCATAATCTTTTTTTCTTTCTTTGAAATACAGTTGTTCTCATTATTTGCAGTAATGATGTTCTACAAAGTTGCTGTGAACAATGAAGTAGCAAATACTGAAACACTGATCCTATCGGAAATAGAGATTTTGGCTCTTGTGAGTCTCTGGTCACGACTAATCGATACAGAAGCTTGTTTTATATGTGTTATTGTTTAAATACCCTTTATTTAATGTGTTTTTGATTAACATTGAGCTTACAGTCAGTGACACTATAACTTATGCCAGAATAAAGCTTATCTAATGCACGGCTTTTCTTTGTAGAGAATATCACAACCTTCTTGTGCCTAGGAACACTAGACATCAATTCAGCTATATGATTAGGGACCATTGGTTTTTTTTTTTGTTTTTTTTTTTTTTTTTGAGACAGACTCTCGCACTGTCACCTGGGTTGGAGTGCAATGGTGTGATCTTGACTCACTGCAACCTCTACCTCCCAGGTTCAAGCGATTCTCCTGCTTCAGCCTCCTGAGTAGCTGGGATTACAGGCACCTGCCACCATGCCCATCTAATTTTTTTTTTTTTTTCTAGTAGAGATGGGATTTTACTATATTGGCCAGGCTGGTCTTGAACTCCTGACCTCGAGATGTGCCCACCTTGGCCTCCCAAAGTGCTGGGATTATAGGCATGAGCCATAGCGCCTGGCCGTTTAGGGACCATTTCATTTTAAACAGCAAAATCACCAATGAAATGAACAAAAATTATTAAAAATGTGTTCCAAACTATACAGTAAGAAGGACCCTTGTTTATATGAGAGTTGACACAAAAAGACACAGTGTCTCCCTGTTTAATCTCAGCTGGGAATTGCTACTCTGCACATGTCTGTAAATGACCATAAAATTGTCACCAGTATTGATTTAAAAGTTACAAACAAACTTTAGTAAATTGGTAAATTTACCAATGTGGAATCCACAATTAATGAGAATCAACTATTTATAATGGCTGCTATGATGTCTTTGTTCAATTTAACATCTGGGTTTTTTTCACAAGCAATTACTGTTGCCATTTTTTTTTTCTCTTTACAAGGGTAACCTTTTCTTGTTGCTTTGCATGTCTCATAATATTTTGTTTTAAATTGAATATTTTAGGTAATATATTGTAGTAAATAGGAATACCAATTCATCTTCCCCTTTCTTGGCTTTGCCATTATTATTGTTTGCTTATGTATTTGTTTAGTTACTTTGCTATATTATTTGAATAAAGTCTTTTTCTTTTATAGTGTGAAGCTTCTAATATTTCTCCACAGAAAGCACAGGCGTGGATATGTTTACAGCCATGATGAGATGACAGTGGTTTGGGTTGTCACTTTTCTATTATCTCTGTTACACTTTCTGCCTACCTTGGTGTGACACCTACCTGTTATGCTCTACTGATTGCCAACTGATTGCTCCATAGGCTTCAACCATGCTCTGGTGCATAAATTGCTCCACAGTCTAATCCAGTTAAGTTCAGACAGGAGTAGTTTTTCAGGTCTGTCTCTGAGGATGTTTTAACCTCAGAAAGACTCTTCTTTAACTTTTTCTTCTTTTCTCTAGTAAACTAGCTTGCCTATGGTTTAACTTGTTGCTCTCACAGAGCTACTAGCTTGCTCTGAATTGCTTACGACCTAAATACTTGTTTCTGAGAGTATCATTAAGCTTAAACTTCCTTGAACTGTGTTAAAAATAAAATGAATTCATTTAGGAAGAGCTTTTGACCTGTTGTTCTTATGGCCTGCCGCTCCTCTTGGGTAAAATCTGTGAGCCACTGTTCCAGGTGCTGAGCAGAGGCAATAGATTTTATTCATTTGGAATTACCTCTCCTGGTATACAATCTTTGGCCTATGGATGAACTGGGATTAAGTCATGAAAGACCTTTGTAGTCTCAGCCTGCCACACCTGTGGTAAAGAATCCCTTCCATGAGTGGAGACTGGGTGAAGAAAATGAGCCCCCAACCTCTTATCTGAACTCACCAGTCGTTTAGCCTTTGCAACTTAGAGTTCAATAGGGTAAGAATGATGGTATCCTGCCTCTTCCATTAAGACAGTGTATTCCTTATTTTGTAGCTAAGGAGAGAAGTGCCCTCTTCCTGGCCATGCCTACACAAATTGGAGCTTACAAGACGAGCTGGAGAAGAATAAGGGATGGTCGTGTCTCAAGTGCCACAGCTACTGTTTTTATTGAGAGTAATATTTTTAAATAAGTTACTCTTTATTCACTATATGCCCTCAGCACAATTTCCAAAGGCTTTATATTGTTATTTCATACATTTTTCATCAATTAGAATTGTTTCACTGGAAAACCTGTCTAGAGGACTCCTTACACCATCGTTCTGGAAGTCAATAAATAATTTTAAATGAGCCTGCTTAGTACTGCATTCAAATCTTAAGTGATATAAATACTACAATATTTTATAAATAGGGCCCTATTATTTTAGATAGATCAAATCATGTTTAGTTAATATAACAAATAATAGGAGACCATAAGAGAATATCAAAAGACACTATGAAAATTAAAGTGTTTGCTCTATCTACCAATCCTCAATCTTATATCATGATCCTTCACCTAATCAAGGCCCTATTTTGAAGGTCCACAGTTAAACAAGACTGCAAAACCTTGTAACTATGCTGACTTTATTCTCTTCCCTTAGAGAGGTAGCTAACTCTGTCCAGGTAATAACCTTTCTGACTGCAGTGAGAATACACTTGGGTTTGGCATATCAACAGGTTGTTTTGGTGGTACATGCTGGAAGCTATCATTCGATGATCCTGCAGTTCTACCAAAATCCACCTGAGACCTCCTTACTACTATAATCCAAGACCTTTAACTTAGTATAATAACAGCTTGCTTCTCTGAGGCCCCTTGATTCTCTCACTTGGGAGTCACATTGACAGCCACAGGTAAGTCAATCTTACATCCAAGTCATTTCTTTTAAAAAATAATTTTTTTTCCTTTTATTGAACTCACTGAATGCTGTTTAGTTGGTTTCCTAGGAGTGAGGAACCCAATTTGAGGAATGCTTTAATATTATCGTATTTAAAAGTATTTTATCCTTTGTTGAATTCTTCTTAAATTACTAACAACATTGCTTTTTCTCTTTGTTTTTCTCATTGTTTGCTGTATGGTCAGAAAAGAAAATATTCTAGGGAAGAGGAAAGGCATATGGGCCTGGATGCCATTTACCAAGCCAGTCCCTGAGACTAAGTTCAGAAAGCTTCTGATATGAGCAATCTTGGGAAAACTTGGCTTCAGATTATGAATAAAAACCTTTTAAGAACTGTGATCAAGCTTGTTTTGCCAGTTGAGTGTCTGCTTCTTAGGAGTCTCCTCTCCAGACCTTTGACTGATGCACACTACAGTTTTATTATGTTTGCAGGTGGACGTCAACTGCAAACGTAAGTTGGCAGCCATACACTAGGCCAAAGAACCTGAGATATAAAAAAAAAAAAAACAACACAATAAGACTTTATACAACTTTTCCCAAACTCGGTTTGTTTCTGTCTAAATATAATTTCATACCCTCTCCAGGCTTAATTCCTGCTTCTTACAAATATTTATGCTATAAATCAAACTTGTGTACTTTATTTTGTAAAGGTAATAATATAACCAAGGAATATTTAGAATTATAGTGGCCAATTTAGGGACTTTTATATGAATGTAATTGTTTCTTTGAAAGACAGAACAAAAAAGGGAAAAATTACTAAATGTTCAATAGTCTGTCTTTTTCATTGGCATAAGGAAGCATCCAAAATAAATTCACATATTGGAATGCTTTCTTAACATTATCCTTTGGACAATTCAAAAGTAAAGTGTAAAAAAACCCACAAAACTCTCTTTTATATCCATTCAACCATAGCTCAAAACTAATAGTTTTTATCTTACTATTCTCCTTATTCATTCTCCTTTTTCTTTATCCTTATCTTTTCCTTTGATCTGCTCTCCTTTACCCCAGGCCAATGGAAAAATTCACAAAGCTCAATTACCTCTAAAATAAGTGCCCTTTCAGAACAGGAAAAAAGGAAAAATCTTTTTTTAAATTTTAAGCTCCGGTTTTCCTTCTAAGCTGAGAGCCATTGTCAAAGACTTGGCAAAGCCTAGACAAAATAGAAAAAAATTTGCAGGGGAATTTGGAATTATTTTTAACCATATAATATAGAACCGAAGAATCTATACCAATTTATTCATATGATGGTGGGTACCTCATACAGAGAAAAAAAACAGATTTAAACGCTAGAAGAGGAAGATTCCAAGCATGCCTTTAGCATTCCCCCAGACTGCACAGGAAACCAGAAAAGCTTAGAAAAGCTTTAAATATTGAACAAGGCTGTTTGTAGCTGCTACGGTTTGGATATTATGTGTTTGCCTCTACCAAAACTTATGTTGAAATTTGATCCCAAATATGGCAGTATTGAAAGATGGAGTCGAGTGTGAGGTGTTTGGATCATGGAGGTGGATCTCTCATCAATAGCTTGGTGCCATTGTCTTAATATTGAGTGAGTTTTCCCACTCATAAGAATGGATTAGTTCCCAAGAGAGTGAGCTTTGAAGAGCTGAGCCCCCCTGGTTTTGCTTTCTTGCTTCTTCCCTTACCATATGATCTCTTGCCATGTGATCTTGCACACATCAACTCCCCTTCCACTTTCCGCCATGAGTAGAAGCAGCCTGAGGCCATCACCAGGCACAGTTGCCTAATCCTGGATTTTGCAGCCACTTGATTTGTGAGCCAAATAAACATTTTTCTTTACAAATTACCCAGCCTCAGGTATCCTGTTACAGCAACATAGAACGGACTAATACAGTAGCCAATCCCCCAAATCCTTCTTATGAAAATACATTGGGCTTGGATTCAGAAGTGTAAGCAAAAAAAAAA
This sequence comes from Homo sapiens, assembly GCF_000001405.40. Classification (NCBI taxonomy): domain Eukaryota; kingdom Metazoa; phylum Chordata; class Mammalia; order Primates; family Hominidae; genus Homo; species Homo sapiens. The sequence goes on along the minus strand of NC_000023.11, from coordinate 146,530,493 downwards.
AAAAAGAAAAAATACTCTGGAGACTTCAAAGATAGTCATCTTAACTTCTTTATGTATTCAGAATAAACTCCAAAGCATATGTGGTCTCCTTTCTCACTCACATATTGTGAAGGATCTTAAATCCCTTCCCAGAGATTGGGAAGGCATTTAAATGCAAGCAACACTAGACTGAAACAGAGCCTCATTTACACACCTTCAACATCTCTCTGAACATTTTCAAATGGCCTCAGAATAGAGACAGTATAATACTCAAAATAAATTGTTGGCCTTATTAAAAAAATGTTCCCACTCCAGTCATTACACACTGGAAGAGGTAGTCTTGAAAAAGACACTTGTAATACTCTCAAATGAAAAGATACTGGAAAAATACCGTCCTGTGTTAACTAAATTTCCAAGGGAAAAATATGTGAGTAATTACCAAAGGTGCTCCAAAGGAGAAAAAAAAAAATTATGTTTTCCCCCTAAAACTCATAAGACAAAATTTCTCAAAATTAAAGGCTATTCATAAAACAGTTTTATCTTGATACCAGAAATATATGAAGCTTAAGCTTAACATTGTTATACAACATATCCCTTAGAATCAATGAATTGCAGGTGGTTGGTATGGTTAATAACTCACAAACATCCTGCCATGCTCCAGCACATAATTATCATCCTCAGATCTTTAGCCAAGGAACATTATTTTCTCCTGCATTACATCACATTCCCTAATTCAATAAAAACTGATTTACTATGCAAAGTAAATTGCCAGGTAAACTGCTCTCCTTATAATCTCAAAATTGTTGAGGAATTTCATATTTATAAAATAAGAGCTAATTTAGACATTAATTTACTGCTACCCTTATGTCAAAATCAAGCTAAGTGGAAGATTTCAATGAGGTACCAGACATTTTTGTGTGCTAAAATATAGGAAGCAAGCTCCTTGTTATTGGCCTTGGCAATGATTTTTTGTATATGACACCAAAAGCACAGGGAATAAAGGCAAAAATAAACAAGTGGGACTATATTAAACTAAAAAGCTTTGACATAACTAAAGAAGCAATCAATGCGAGAAAACATTGAAAAACCATCTGATAAGGGTTTAACACCCAAAATATATAAAGAAATTACACAACTCAATAGCAAAAAAGAAAATAAAATAACCTAATTGGAGAAAATGGGAAGAGGACCTAAACAGATATTTTTCAAAAATGACATACAAATGGCCAAAAGATATATGAAAAGGTGCTCAATATCATTAATCTTTAGAAAAATGCAAAATCAAAACCAAAATGAGATATCACCTTACAATTCTTAGGATGGCTATTATCAAAAAGACAAGCCATAACAGGTGGAGAAAAGGGAACTCTCGTTCATTGTTGGTGGAAATGTAAATTGGTATAGCCATTATGGAAAACAGTACAGAGTTTCCTCAATAAATTAAAAATAGAACAATCACACAATACAATAATCCTTCTTCTGGGTATTTGTCCAAATGAAATAAAATCAGTGTCTCAGAGACACTGCCTGCCCCATGATCACTGCAACATTATTCACAATTACCAAGATATGGAAAACACTTATCTGTGAATGGATAAACAGATAAAGAACATTTGGTGTACACATATATACAATGGAATGTTAAGCCATAAAAAGAGGAGAATCCTGCTACTTGCGACAACATGGACAAACTTGGAGGACATTATGCTAAGTGAAATAAGCCAGACATAGAAAGAAAAACACTGTATGATTTCACTTGTCTGTGGAATTTTAAAAAGCTGAACTTATGGAAGCAGGGAGGAAAATGGTTTGCCAGGGCCTAGGTGGGTGAGAAATGCGAAAATGTTGGTCACGAGATACAAACTTTTAGTTATAAGATGAATAAGTTCTAGAGATTTAATGTACAACATGGTGACTATAGTTAATAATTCTGCACCGTTTTCTTGCAATTTGATAAGAGAGAAAATGTTAGATATCCCCTTGATACACACTCGCAGTGGTAACTATGGGTGGTAAAAGAACGTTTTAATTAATTTGGTTGTGGTAATAATTATACAATATAGATGTATATCAAATAATCACATTGTACACCTTGAATATATACAATTTTTATTAATTAAACGTTTAAAAAATTTTCAATATATTATTCTGCTTGAATTTTGGGGGAGTCAGAATTCAATAACACTTTAACCACCAGAAAAAGTAAAAAAAAAAAAAAAAAAAAGAAAAGAAAAAAAAAAGAAAACAAAATAAATAACCACTATCCGGTCATATATCATTAGTTCTTGAAATTCTCTGATGTAATAGCTGCTTTATTTTATTTTATTATGTTTTTTGAGACGGAGTCTTGCTCTGTCACCCAGGCTGGAGTGCAGTGGTGCGATCTTGGCTCACTGCAAGCTCCGCCTCCCGGATTCATGCCATTCTCCTTCCTCAGCCTCCCCAGCAGCTGGGTCTACAGGCGCCCGTCACCCCGCCCGGCTAATTTTTGTATTTTTTAGTAGAGACGGAGTTGCACCGTGGTCTCGATCTGCTGACCTCGTGATCCGGCCGCCTCGGCCTCCCAAAGTGCTGAGATTACAGGTGTGAGCCACCACGCCCGGCCAATAGCTGCTCTAGTTCTCATTTTACAGAGACAGACAGTTTGGTGCAACTCAGGCAATATAAATTTTTCTCTGCCTCATTAATGTATGGACACAATTGGAACCTCAATTTGTAAAGTACAGGACTTTTAAGACAATGAGATGTAAATGGAGATGCTAATTATACTACTGTGTTACATCATGAATTATATGAGGTACAATAGAAGAAAAAAACAAAAAAAGCACTTTATTCCATGGGATACTGAAAAAGATATCAACATAGGTGGTGATTGTGGAACTATAGAGTGGGGGATACATGACACTTCAGCAGCAGAACTAGCAGGACCTCTTACATTCACTTTTTCCTGGTGCCATGGTTTGAATGTGTATGTCCCTTCAAAGTTTATATGTTGAAACCAAATACTCCATGTTATAGTATCAAGTAGTGGGGCAGTTTTGGAGGCGATTAAGTCACGAGCACACTGTCCTCATGAATAAGGTTAGTGTTCTTACAAAAGAGATTGAAGGGAATGCCCTGCCCTGCTTCACCTCTTCAAATGTGAGGATGATGGAAAAGCTGCCTATGAGAAATGGGTCCTCACTAGACATCAAATCTGCTGGTGCCTTCAGTTTGGACTTCTTAGCCTCTAGAATTGTAAGACATACATTCTGTCATTTATAAATAATTACTCAGTCTAAGGTATTTTGTTATGGCAGCAGGAACAGATTCAGACACTCAGTTCTCTGATTGTCAAGTTATTTCTATCCAAATTTAACTTGCATCTTCCTGAAACCACTCCTCTATAAATATCATTATACTGTAATAGATTAGCATCACTTCTGATACACAATTACTACTCAAAAATATTTATTGAAATAATAAACTCTATATATGCCCCCTTCTCCCCAAATCTAAGGTTCGGTTCTAAGGAACTCTACTACCAACCTTCAATACCTCCTTTCTTTCCTTCAGCATTTCTAAAAATAATTTAATTAGAATTCTTCCCCCTAGTTTTAAGTCAGGCAATTTTTTTTTCTTGCACAGGGTATCACTTGCCATAAATCAAGCTTTTTTCTGGAAATAATAATACATGTTTAAAAATACACAATTTGATACTTTTAAATTTTTTAACTAGGGGGAAGTATTAATACAAAATCATGCTCATATACATACACATATAACTTTACATAGGTAGTAAAAGTTGGAGAATGTATTTTTCTGAAGTGATATGAATTCCTATTTACTGATACTTTTCAATTATTTTCATAAAATTAAGGGGGAAGATTATAAAATTTTGACTTGAATGTCATTCAGCCAATTGAAAAACTATATTCTTTGGAACTTTGATTCACTGGTTAGAAGAATATTAGTAGCGTGACATCTCAAGTGCAATACTTTCCCCTCAAGGTGTGGAAGAAACAAAGAGCTTTTTGTTAAAGATAAAAAGAAACTGACAGTGTTAAAAGTCCTCGGATTGGGTTCTAAATCAGAATATCTAAATGTGTGAACTCAGGAGAGGTTGTTTTATTATTATTTTTTTTTCCTCATTTGCACACAGTTTCAAATTCAAAATATTGGATGGCTGGACTAGAAGATCTATATGGACACTTTTACTTCTACAATACAATGAATGGTTATAAACATTTAATTTCAGTTTCTGAGTCATCTGTAAAAATAGTTTCAAAAACGAGCTTTGCAGCAGGAAACCTTTCTTTACCATAGCAACTACCAGGATCATGTTATTAATACCTTGTGACACAGCAGAGCTGGAAGTTTTGCAGCACAGATGAAGATGCTTATTATGTTACTACTACTATCTACCATCACAAATGCAGGCAGATGGTATTCCTGAATCAGAGGCAGTAAAAGAAAATGCTTATAAACAAAGTGGGAGAGAACGATGGGATCCCTTTGTTCTACCTGACTAGAGATCTCTGCTTCAGCCAGTCAACAAGCACAGATTATATGCATAATCGATAGGTTTTAAGTGTTGGATATGCAAAGATCAACAAGAAATGTTCATTGTTTTTGAATATCTCAAAAGCAATGTGTGAGGAAAGGAAAACATGAATTCAACTAAATATAATACAGGAGACTGTTAGAAATGAGATCATAGAGTTAAAACACAGCTTATACAAATACTAAATGGTAGAACAAAACCTCCTTACCTGGTATACAAGGGGGTGACAATGAGGAGTAAACCTCTTTCTGGTTTCAAATCCAACCATACCAATCACTTTACCTATTTGTACCCTATACTCATGATACACTAATATTTGTCCTATTCTCAAATAGGCTCTGCCCTTTCTTAACTCTGTGCCATTATCCATGTCATTCCCTCTGTTTTTAAAGTCACTGCCCATTTCCACTATTCGCCAACTAAAATTCAACCATCAATGAACAGAAACACATCCTGATTTTCATAGGCAGTAAGTCACCACCTCTGGCTTCTCTTCTTTTACATAACTCTATTAGAACCTTTACCAGATTGCATTATAATTTAATTGTTAACATCTGTATGAAGCATTTCCAGCGAAAATTATAGTAAAAGTCATCAAAGTTGGAAACCACCTTTTATTATCAGAGTTCTGAAGTCAACTCACTTCATATATTAATTTTATCCTTACTAGTATTACTGTTCTAATCAAATGGTTCATTTGTTAAAACTACAATATTTTGATATTTTTTCAATAAATGCGTTTATATAACTGCTTAAGTATCCTTTGTGAAATGGAGCAGATTATAAGTAAATTTTAAAATACAAAAAAATTCATTTGACTTAGAGAACATATGTGTTTTACTATTTCTAGACTACAGAACGGCACCTAGTATATATTCATTTTTATGTACCGAAGAAACACATAAATTGAATGAAAATTTGTAAAAGAAATTAAAATTAGTGTAACCAAGGAAAGCATTATGGAGAATGACATATTTAAGCCAGAAGCTGAAATCTGGATGGATTTTCAGCATGCCTGTGCGAGAAAAAGTAGGACAATCCACGCAAAGGTGATAGTCTGAGCAAACGTGTGGGCTATTAATATGAAAGGCTGATGAGGCTGGTATGGCAGTAACAAAGGAACTGTTGTGCAGTGGAGTGGGAAATCAGGCTTAAAAGGCAGCTGTGAGACACCTTAAAAGCCATACTAAGGAATTGACACTTTATACTGCAGATGACGAGGAACCTGCAAGATTTATGAAGACGTGGGTATGCCATGACGATATACATATTTTTTGAATACCAATTCAAAGGAATGAAAATTGGTTTGGAGAGGGGGCTTGAATGGAAGCCTGGAGCCCAGTTAGAAAGTTATGGTAAAAATTCAGGGAAGAAATTATGGTAGCCTGTATTGAGGCAGTAGCAGTGAGGATGGAGAAAAAATATATACAAATAATGGACATCAATAAGGTTTGGTAATTAAACGTCAATGATGGAAAGGGTGATGGAGGAGTCAATGGTGATTATCAGGGATTTTTTTAACTTTTCATTTTAAAATTATTATAGAGTCACAGGAAGTTGCAAAGATACTACAGTAGTGCAGAGAAGTCCTGTTCAGCCTTCAAACAATTTCCCTCAATGGTTACATCATACATAATTATAGTACGATATAAAAACTTGGAAATTAGCATTTGTATGCGGTGTGAACATTGGTACTTTGTCATTTTATCACATGCATAGATTTGTATAGTGTCCATGACAACATCAAAATATAGAACTATTCAGTCACCACGAAAATCTACCTCATGCTGACAATTTATAGTCACAACCACTCCTTATCTTCACCATTCCTAAACCCTGCCAACCACTAGCGTTTTCCCATCTCCATATATTTTTCATTTGAGAATGTTATGTAAATGGAATAATGCAGTATGAGATATCTGTAATTCTCAACAAGTGGATATCAAGCAATTCAATTCTGATACTATTTACCTGGAATTAGTGTCAGATGTTACAAATTAAAGGGCTCAGTCCAACAACACTGCACTCAATTCACATGCCAGCCATGAAAGGAGTGCCCAGACTACCCACACTTCTGCCAAGCAGAATAGAAGTTTGGAGGTTCTCATATCCTCCCTCAGTGATTCAATGATTTGTTCCATCAGCTCACAGAATTCAGGAAACCACTTTACTTATGTTTATCAGCTTATTATAAAGAATACAACCCAGGAATAGCTAAATATAAGAGATACATAGAGCAAGATAGGTGGTGGGGGACAGAACTCCCATGTCATCCTACCAACCTGTAAGTTCTCTGAATCTCATCGTTCAAGAGGTTTTTTTAGAGCTCAATCTCCAGCTTCCCCTTTCCCCTCTGGAGAGCCCTGTCTGTGGTTGAAAATACCACCCCTATTATCACTTGGTCTGTCTGGTGACCAGTCCCCTCCTAAGCCTATTCAGAGGCCCCACACAAGTCATCTCATTCTCCTGAACTAAGGTGTGATAGAAAAGGGCTCATTATGAATGACAAAAGACACTCCTATTACTCAGGAAATTCCAAGGGTTTTGGAGGCTTTTTGCCAGGAATGTGAGACAAAAGTGAAATACTGTATGCATTTTTATTATACCACAGACCTTTTGAGATTGGCTTCTTTTCGCTCAGCAAGTTGTCCTTGGGATTCATCCTAGTGGTTGTATCAATAATCTGTTTCTTTTTGCTGATTTTATTCCATGATATGGTTGTGCCACAGTGTGTTTAGCCATTCACTCATTGATGGATATTTGCATTTTTCCTGATTTGAGGCTACCATAAATAAAGATGCTAGGAACATTTATCTACATATTTTTTGTGTGGACAAAATTTATTTCTTCAGGATAAATGTCTTGAGTGTGTAACCACATAGTAACTATATGTTTAATGGTTTTAAGAAACTGCCTAATTATTTTTCAGAATGGCTATAGCATTTTACATTCCCACCAGCAATGTTTGGGATATTCAGTTTCTTTGCATCCTCAACAGTATTTGGTAATTGGCATGGTTATTTTTAAAAGTTTAGCCCTTCAGTGTATAGCGATATTTTATGTTCATTTTAAATTGCATTTTCCTAAAAGCTAGTGATATGCATATTTTCATGTGCTTATTTGCCATCTGATATGGTTTGGCTATGTGTCCCCACCCAAATCTCACTTTAAATTGTAATAATCCCCACGTGTCAAGGTCTCTGCACTCACCCTGTCCTGCTGTCCTGTGAAGAGGTACCTTCTGCCACGATTCTAAGTTTCCATAGGCCTCCCCAGCAATGTGGAACTGAAGTCAATTAAGCCTTTTTTCTTTATAAATCAGCTAATCTCAGGTATTTCTTCATAGCAGTGTGAGAATGGACTAATAGACCATCTTTATAACTTCTTTTGTAAAATGCCTCTTCTTGTTTTTTTGGCTATTTTCTATTTAAACAGTTTGTCATTTTTCTGTTGAGTTTGAGAGTTTTTTTCTTATAATCTTGATACAAGTACTTTGTCAGGTATGTAGATTACAAATGTTTTCATTCAATCTCTAACTTGTCTTTTCATTCCCATCACAGGTCTTTTATTCATACAGCATTATTATTTTTTTTTGTGTGTGGGACAGGGTCTCAGTCTGTCACCCAGGCTGCAGTGCAGTGGCACAATCACAGCTCACTGTAGCCTCTACCTCCTTGACTCAAGCAATCCTCCTGACTCAGCCCCCGAATATCTGGGACTAGAGGCATGAGCCACCACATCTGGCCAATTAAAAAAAATTTTTTTTGTAGAAATGGGGTCTTTCTATGTTGCCCAGGCTGGTTTTGAACTCTTGGGCTCAAGTGTCCCGCCCACCTTGGCCTCCCAAAGTGCTAGGATTACTGGTGTTAGCCACCACAATGGGCTGAGTAAAAGTTATTAATTTTGATGACATGCACTTTCTTTTATAAATAATGTTATTTTATGTCAACTCTAGGAACTGTTTACTCACCTCCAGATCCTAAATTTTTTTTGTCATCTAATGTTTTATAATTTTACATTCAAATCAATGATCTACTTTTATTTAATTTATATAAGTTGCAAGGTTTAGGTTGAGGTTAATTTTGTTTTCAATCTATGGATGAAAACAATATATTCCAGCACCATTGTTGGAAAGGCAGTCTATGAAATTGCTATTTTTCACTCTTGTCAAAACCAGTTGGCATATTTTCAGGGGTCTACTTTCAGATTTTGTATTTTGTTCTATTGATCTATATGCCTAGTCCTGTACCAATACTATAGATTATTGATTACTGTAGCTATATCATAAGTCCTGAAATTAGGCAGAATATTCCTGCAAACTTATTTAGTTTTAGAATTGTTTCAGCTGTTATATTTACTTCATCTTTCCACATAAACTTTAGGATATTATTGTATCTACATAAAAAACTTGCTGAAATTTTGATAAAATTGCATTAAACCGCCACTTTAATTTTCATCTATAGTTCAATATAGACAATTTAAATAATTTACATCTTTGCCATGTTGATAAACACTGAATATGTCTCCACTTATTTCAACATACAAGTCTTATACATTTTAAAAAATGTATACATAAGTATTTCTTTTTTGCGAACAATTGTAAATGGTGTTATATTTTTAATTTTTTTCTTTTGACAAATTATTGATAGTATAGAGAAATACAATTGAGCTTTCTGAGTTGACCGTGTATCCTGAAATTGTTGTATGATCTGTGGGCATTTCGAAAAACAATATGTTCTGTTGCTGTTGGGTATTTTATAGATACCTGTTAGATCCTATTGGTTGACTGGAGCTGAATATTTTCTATATCTTTAATGATTTTTCTGTCTAGTTGTTCTATTAATTTTTGAGAGAGTTAAAGTCTCATACTATAGTAATGGATTCTTCAATTTCTCATTTCAATGTTTTTTGGTGCATACACATTTAGAATGTCTCTTCTATCCTTGGTGATAACATTTTCTTTAAAGTCTACTTGATTTAGTATACCTGCTTTCTTTTGATTATATTGGTTTTTATTCTTTTATTTCAACCTGCCTATGTCATTATATTTGAAGTGAGTTTCTTATGGACAGCATACAATTGGGTCATGTTTCTCTCTTAATCAACTCTGAATCTCTGTGTTTTAATTGGTTTATTTTAACCACTGCCATTTGAGAAATCATTGATATATCAAGGCTTTCTTCCATTTAATTTTTTGGTTGCTATTTGTGATCTGTGTTTTTCAATTCTCTGCTTATTTTTTTCTGCCTTCCTAAGTGTTACTTGAAGATTATCTAGAATTTCATTTTTGTTTATACTATTGAGGATGTATCATTTCATGTAACGTTTTTATAGTCGCTATAAGTATCACACTATACATATAGTATCACACTATATATCTATATATAGATTATATATATATATATATATATACACACATCTTCTTGTATAGTGTGATACTTTTATAGACTTTCATATGTATATATGAAACTTATTGAAGTCTACTGGTGCCAACATTTTTGCCAGTTCTAGTGAAGTATAGAGACCTTACCACCCTTAATGTCCCTTTACCTTCCACCATTTATAATAAAATTATTTTAAATGCTTTCTCTAAATACATACATTGTGAATCACAGTAGACAGTGTTACCAATTTTGCTTCAACCATCAACCATAATTTAGAAAACTCAAAAGGATAAGAAAGTCTTTTGTATTCATCCAATTTTTGTTCTTACTGTGTTCATTTTTCTTTACTTTTTAATTGTCCAATATTTCTTATTTAGTGATTTTCCTTATGTTTAGATAATTTTTTAACCACTTTAAAGTGGTTTAGTAGTCACACATTCTCTTAGCTTTTCTTCATCTGACAAGGTCTTGATATCCCTTCATTTACAAAGGATAGTTTCACTGGATATGTTATTCTGGGCCAGCAATTTTTTTTTTATTTCAGCACTTGAAAAATGTTATGCTACTTTCTTTTGGCCTCCATGGTTTCAGATGGGAAATGAACTTTAGGAATGAATGGCTAAAGGAAAAGTTCTTTAAACAGAAAGAAAATGATTTTTAAATAAGGACATTAAGAATATTAGGAAGGAAATAAGCACAAGTGAATGGGTAAATATAATAGCCTATTTATCTTCTATTGAGTTTTATATTATGTTTGATTTTTAAGTGAAAATTAAAATATATAATCTTATTCAAAGTGCATGTGGAGAACATGTCTACTGTTCAAAACAATTTTATTACAAAGGGAAGAATGTAAGGGGAACTAAATGGTGACATTTTATTCAAGGTCGTAAATACAGACAACAATACGTTGTAATAAATTACATGTCTACAGTGTCATACATACCACAAGCACTAATAATTTATATAATGAGATGTCCTCAAAAATACTAGATGAATCAAAATGGATTTTTAAGAAAATGTTGAATTGACTCAGTAAGGCAATAAGGAAAAATAGAGGGGCAAAAATGAAACCACAACAACAAAACAAATGTTAGTCTTAAGCTGTAGCATTTCAATAATTACTTTAAATATAAATGATCTAAATATACCCATTAAAAGACAGAAATTTATAGGATAGACAAAAGGTGATTTGATTATATTTAGTCCACAAGACACTCACTTATATGTAATTATATAAGTTGATTGAAAGTGAACAGTGAAGATAATCTACATCTTTCAAACATTAATCAAAAGAAAACAATGTGGCTACATTAGTGTCAGATAAAATAGGCTTCATAGCAAAGAAAACTATCAGGAACAGAGAGATTCTTTAATGTTAAAAGTGGCAATTCACCACAACGACCTAAATGTGCTAAATATACACCCATAAAGGAACAAAACTTCAAATTGTATAACACAAAACTGATAGAACTGAAAGAAAAAAATACACATTAGAAATTAGAAAGAAAATTAGAAAGAAAAGGATGTTAACGTCCGATGAGTAATCATCTGACACTACAAAACTCACTAAGAATATAGTAAGTACACAGAAAAACACTGAGTATTATGAAACTGTAACTGTGATGTGTAAACAACACTTATCCTGAGTAGAAAGACTAAATAATGAACAAATCAAAAATAGTAAGTACAACAACTTTGCAAAACATGGACAACCCGATAAGATATAAATAGGAACAACAAAAAGTTAAAATGCGGGGAGATAAAGTAAAGGTGTATAGAATTTAACAGTTTCATTTTTGCTTGTTTTTTGATTATGTAAAGAGTGTTCAGTTGTTATCAGTTTTAAGTAATGGGTTATAAGGTAGTATTTGCAAGTCTCATAGTAACCTCAAAATAAAAAACATACAAAGGATGCACAAAAAATAAAAAGCAATAAAGTAAATCATATTACCTGAGAAAATCACCTGCTCTAAAGGAAGACAGGGAGAAACATTGAGGAAAGAGAAGCCTACAAAACTACCAGAAAACAAGTAACAACACGGTAGGAGTAATTCTACACTTATCAATAATAACACCGAATGTAAAGGGAATGGACTATACAATCAAAACCCATAAAGTTTCTGAACACATGGAAAAACAAGACCCATTGATCTTTTCCCTATAAGAAACACACCTCAACTATAAAGACACATATTAACTGAAAATAAAGGGATGAAAAAAGATATTCCATCCCAATGGAAACCAAAAAAATCAGGTGTAGGTATCCTTATAGCAGAAAAAGTAGATTTCAAGACAAAAATTATAAGAGACAAAGTAGGTCATTATAAAAAAAAAGTAGGTCATTATATATTAATAAAGAAGTCAATTCATCTAAATGATACGACAATTTTAAATATACATGCACCTAACACTGGAGCATCAAGCTATACATAGCAAATATTATTAGAGCTAAAGAGAGAAACAGGCCCCAATACAATAATAGTTAGAGACTTTAACACCTCACTTTCAGCATTAGACATATCTCTGGGACAGAAAATCAACAAACATCGAACTTGATATGTACTGTAAAACAAATGCACCTGATAGATATTTACAGAATATTTCATCCAGTGGCTGAAGAACACAGAATTTTTTCCCCAGCACATGGATAATTCTCAAGAATAGACCGTATATTAGGTCATAAAAAAGTCATAAATCATTCAAAATAATTATATAATATCAAGCATGTTCCCTGACCCGAATGGAATAAAACTAAAAATCAATAATGGGAGGAATTTTGGAAACTATACAAACACATGGAAATTAAACATTATGCTCCTGAATGATCACTGGGTCAATGAAAAAATTAAGAAGAATTTGAAAAGTTTCTTGAAGCAAATAATAATGAAAACACAACATACCATAACCTATGGTATACAGCAAAAGCAGTAGTAAGAGGGAAGTTTATAGCTGTAAGTGCCTACATAAAACAGAGGGAAAACTTTAAATAAACAATCAAATGATGCATTTTAAAAACCTAGAAAAGCAAGAACAAACCAACCCAAAAATTATAAGAAAAGAAATTATAAAGATTAGTGAAGAAATAAATGAATTTGACATGAAGAAAACAATATCAAAGATCAATGAAACAAAATTTTTTTTTGAAAAAATAAAATTGACAAACAGCCACACTAAGAAAAAAAGAGAGAAGATACAAATAAATAAAATCAGAAATGAAAAAGAAGACATTGCAACTTATACAACAGTAATTGAAAGGATCATTAGTGGCTACTATTAGAAACTATATTGTCAGTTAATTGAAGACATCTAAAAGCAATGGACAAATTCCTAGACACACGCAACATACCAATATTGAACTAAGAAAAAATTAAAAACTGAAAGAGACCAATAACAAGTAATGATATTGAAGACATAACAAAAATCCCCCAGTAAAGAAAAGCCTGAAGGTTACACTGCTGAACACTGCCAAACATAAAAAAAAATCTAATACCAATCTTACTCATACTGTTCCGAAAAACAGAGAAGGAGGAAATACTTCCAAACTCGTTCTGTGAGACCAGTATTACCCTGATATCAAAAACTGACAAAAATACATCGAAAAAAGAAAACTTCAGGCCAGTCTTTCTGATTAATATTGATGCAAAAATTATCAACAAAATAATAGTGAATCAAATTGAACAATATATTAGAAAGATTATTCATCATGACAGTGGGATTTCCCCTTGGGAGGCAAAGATGGTTCAATATATGCAAATAAATCCAATGCGATACAACATATTAACAGAATGAAGGATATAAACCATATGATTATTTCAATTGATGCTGAAAAAGCATTTGAAAAAATTTAACATTACTTCCTGACAAAAACCCTCAGCAAAGTGGGTATAGTAGAAACATACTTCAACATAACCAAAGCCATATATGACACACCCACAGCTGACATCCCACTGAATGGAGAAAATATGAAAACTTTTCTTCTAAGGTCTGAAACAAGACAAGTATGCCCACTTTAACCACTATTATTCAGCACAGTATTGGAAGTCCTAGCTAGAGCAGTCAGACAAGAAAAGGACATACAGGGCATCCAAATTGTAGAGAAAAAGTCAAATTATTTTGTTTGCCAATGATATGATCTTATATTGAAAAAGCCTATAGACGCCACAAAAACCTATTAGAACTCATAAACAAAGTTCAGTGAAGTTTCAGGTTACAAAATAAACACACCAAAATCAGTAGTATTTCTATATGCTAACAGTGAACAATCTGAAGAAGAAATAAAATGTAACCCCATTTATAGAAGCCACAAAGAAAATTAAATTCTTAGGAATTAACCAAAGAAGTGAAAGATCTCCATATAATAAAAACTATAAAACATGGATGAAATAAATTGAAGAGGACGCCAAAAAAAATGGAAAGATATTTACATGTTCATGGATTGGAAGAATCAACATTGTTAAAATTTCCATGCTACCTAAAGCAATCTATAAGTTCAATGCAATCCCTATCAAAATATCAATTACATTCTTCAAAGAAATAAAATAACCCAAAATTTATATGGAACCACAAAAGACCCAGAATAGCCAAAGCTATCCTAAGCAAAAAGAACAAAAGGAGGGATTACATTACCTGACTTCAGAGCTATAGTAACCCAAACACAATGGTACTGGCATAAAGACAGAAACATAGACCAGTGGAAAAGAACAGAGAACCTGGCGGGGTGCGGTGGCTCACGTCTGTAATCCCAGCACTTTGGGAGGCCGAGGTGGACAGATCACGAGGTCAGGAGATTGAGACCATCCTGGCTAACACGGTGAAACCCCGTCTCTACTAAAAATACAAAAAATTAGCTGGGCGTGGTGGTTGGCACCTGTAGTCCCAGCTACTCGGGAGGCTGAGGCAGGAGAATGGTGTGAAGGTAGAGCTTGCAGTGAGCCGAGATCATGCCACTGCACTCCAGCCTGGGCGACAGAGCGAGACTCCGTCTCAAAAAAAAATAAAAAAATAAAAAAAAAGGACAGAGAACCCAGAAAGAAATCCACACACTTACAGTAAACTCATTTTTAACAAAGGTACCAAGAACATACACTGAGGAAATGACAGTCTCTTTAATAAATGGTACTGGGAAAACTGGATATCCATATACAGGAAAATAAAACTAGACCCCTATCTCTCACCATATACAAAAATGAAATCAAAATAGATTTAAGACTCAAATCTAAGACCTTAAACTATGAAACTCCTACAAGAAAACTTTTAGGAAAACCTCCAGGACATTAGTCTGAGCAAAAGTTTATTGAAAAATACTCCATAAGCACAGGCAACCAAACAAAAAGTGGACAAATGGGATTACATTAAGTTAAAAAGCTTCTACACAGCAAAGAATGTAATCGATGAAGTGAAAACAGAATCCATAAAATGGGAGAAAATATTTGAAACTATGCATCTGATAAAGGATTAATAACAAGAATATATAAGGAGCTCAAACAACTGTATAGAAGATAATCTAATAATCCCATCAACAAATAGGCAAAAGATTTGAACAGACATTTCTCAAAAGAAAACATACAACTGGCAAACAGGCATATGAAAAGGTTCTCAACATCACTGATCATCAGATAAATGTAAATCAAACTACAATGAGATATGTCACCCTCCAGCTAAAATAGCTTATATCCAAAAGACAGGCAACAACAAATACTGGCAAGGATGTGGAGAAAAGAGAACCTTTGTACACTGTTGGAGGGAATGGAAATTAACACAACCACTATGGAGAAGAGTTTGGAGGTTTCTCAAAAACTAAAAATTGAACTACCATATGATCCAGCAATCCCAGTTCTGGGTATGTACCCCAAAGAAAGAAAATCAGTATATTACAGAGATAGCTGTACTGCCATGTTTATTGCAGCACTGCTTACAAGAGTTAAGATTTGGAATCAACTTATATCCCTCAAGAGATGGATGGATAAAGAAAATGTGGTGCATATACATAGTGGAGTACTATTCAGTCATAAAGAGTATCGTGATTCTGTCATTTGCAACAACATGGATGGAACTGTTGGTCATCATGTTAAGTAAAATAAGCCAGGCACAGAACAAACAATATCACATGTTCTCACTTATGTGGGATAAAAAAAAAATGAACTCATAGATATAGAGAATAGAAGGATGGTTACCAGAGATTGGGAATGATAGTAGGGGCAGGGAGTGAGGTGGGGATGGTTAATGAATACAAAATAATAGTTAGAAAGAGTGAATAATATCTTGTATTTAATAGCACAACAGGGTGGCTATAGTCAATAATAAATTACTTTTACATTTTAAAATAACTAAAAGAGAGTAATTGGATTGTTCATAATGCAACCTATAATTCCTTGAGGGGATGAGAACCCCATTCTCCATGATGAAATTATTTCACATTGCATGCATCAAATCATCTCGTGTACCCTCTATTAGTTTGTTTTCATACTGCTATAAAGAACTGTCCAAGACTGGGTAATTTATAAAAGAAAAATATTTAATTGACTCACAGTCCACCATGGCTGGAGAGGCCTCAGAAAACTTACCATCAAGGCAGAGAGGGAAGCAAGGACCTTCTTCACATAGCAGCAGGAGAGAGAAGAGTGAGGAGTGAAGAGGGAAGAGCCCCTTATAAAACCATGAGATCTTGTGAGAACTCACACACTATCATGAGAACAGCAGCATGGGGGTAACTGCCCCCATGATTCAATTACCTCCACCTCCTCTCTCCCTTGACACATGGGGATGAGGGGGATTACAATTCAAGATGGGATTTGGGTAAAGACACAAAGCCTAACCATATCATTTCACCCCGGCCCCTCCCAAATCTCATGTCCCTTTCACATTTCAAAACACAATCATGCCTTCCCACAGTTTCCCAAAGTTTAAACTTGGTCCACCATTAACCCAAAAATCCAAATCCAAAGTCTCATCTGAGGCAAGGCACGTCCCTTCTGACTATGAGCCTATAAAAACAAAGCAAGTTAGTAACTTCCTTGATACAATGGGGGTACAGACATTGGGTAAATATGCCCATTCCAAATGGGAGAAATTGGCCAAAACAAAGGAGCTACAGGCCCCATGCAAGTCCAAAATTCAGTGAGGCAGTGAAATCTTAAAGCTTCAAAATTATCACCTTTGACTCCATGTCTCACATCCAGCTCATGCTGATGCAAGAGGTGGGGTCCCATGAACTTCAGCAGCTCCACCTGTGTAGCTGTGCAAGGTATAGCCTCCCTCCTGGCTGCTTTCACAGGCTGGCATTGAATGTCTACAGATTTTCCAGGTGCATGTTGCAAGCTGTCAGTGGATCTACCATTCTGGGGTCTGGAAGACAGTGACCCTCTTCTCACAGCTCCACTAGGCAGTGCTCCACTGGGGACTCTGTGTGGGGACTCTGACCTCACATCTTCCTTCTGCACCGCCCTAGGAGAGGGTCTCAATGAGCGTTCCACCCCTACAACAAACTTCTGCCTGGACATCCAGGTATTTCCATACAACCTCTGAAATCTCGGCACATATTCCCAAACCTCAATTCTTGACTTCTGTGCACCCGCAGGCCCAATACCACATGTACGCCACCAAGGCTTGGGTCTTGCACCCTCTGGAGCAATGGCTTGAGCTGGATATTAGCCCCTTTTAGCCACAGCTGGTTTGCAGGGCACCAAGTCTTGAAATTGCACAAAGCAGCAAGGCCTTGGCCCAGGCCCATAAAACCATTTTTTTTTTTTCTCCTAGGCCTCTGGGCCTCCACTGGGAGGCAATGCTGTGAAGACTTCTAACATGCCCTGGAGACATTTTTCCCATTGACTTGGTGATTAACATTTGGCTCCTCATTACTTATGCAGATTTCTGCAGCAGGCTTGAGTTTCTTCCCAGAAAATGGGTACCAATTTATTGTATTAGTCCATTTTAATACTGGTATAAACAATTGCCTGAGACTGGTTAATTTAAAAAGAACAAAGTTTTAATTAACTCACATTTCAACACAGCTGGGGAGGCCTCAGGAAACTTACAATCATGGCAGAAGGTGAATGGGAAGCAAAATGCCTTCTTCACAAGGCAGCAGGACAGAGAAATGCTGAGCAAGTAGGGAAGAACCCCTTATAAAACCATCAGATCTCATGAAAACTCGCTCACTATTCACAAGAACGGCATGGGGGAAACTGCCTCCATGATTAAATTACCTCCACCTGGTCTCCCCATTAACACATGGCCATTATGAGGATTATGAGATTTGGGTGGGGACAAAAAGCCTAACCATATCATACCCCATGGCTCTATACATGTACCATATACTCACAAAAATTAAAAATAAATAAATGAAAATAAAATTTTAAAAATCTGACAAAATCAAAAAGAAATGTTAGTGCTAAATAAGTGAATTTTATAATGGTAAAAGTATCAATTCATCAAGAATATATGAGAATTATACACTTACATATATCTAAAAGTAGAGCCCCAAGATATAAGAAACAAAAGATGACAGAATTGATAGAAGAAATAGACAATTCAACAGTCATATGTGAAACTCCAGTATTCCTAAGAAAGTAACAGAGGTAGTAGACAGAAAACTAATGTGTATGTAAAGGACCTGAACTCAACTATCAATGAATTTGATCTAAAATATATGAAACACTCAACTCTTAAGAAGTAGAATAAATATTCTCTTCAAGTGTATATGGAAGTCACTATGACAGATCATATTATGTGTCATAAAACATATATGAGCAAATGTAAAATTACTGAATTTGTAAAAAATGTATTCTTTGACAACAGTGAAATTAAACTAGAAGACAATAACCACAGGTATCTAAAAAATCAATAATTTTGAAATTCAATTATACTTATTGGTGAAAGACTGAAAGTTTCCCCACTATGATACTGAGATTTATTTTCTCCAAAAATGCAGCTGTAATATTTTTAATATATAGTATATTGGATGAGTCCCATCTGGAAATGTCTGCAAGAGGGCTAAGGAAATGGCACACTTCATCTCTGTTTCTGGAGAAAGGGAGGAAGTTTTAGGTATGTATGGGCGAGAGCAGGGTCAGCTTTTCAAAGAAATTTCTAATGATTTGAAGAGCTAATAAATGCAATTGCTAATGCTGTTAAGATGATTGTCCACATAGGTTCCGGTTCAGTCTGATAGTTTAAAGAGCTTTACATTTCAAAGGATTTGTGTTTATGTTTTATTTGAACCTTCAATTGATTGGATACCATGAAATTTTTGTATAAGCTCAATTTTCTGTGTACAGATTAGCTTTCCTCATTCTCTTCACATTGCTAACATGCTTCTGGGTAGAGCTTAGATACCACTTCTCCTGGAAAGTTGGTCCTGGCTCATAAGCTTGGGGTCAGGTGTTCTGTTTTCTGCTCCCAGAGTATCCTGCCTTTTCTTGCCATAACAAGTATAGCATTCATTGTAATTGACTATGTATTTTTTCTGTATACTCTACTAAACTGGGATCTCTATGGTAGTAGGGATGGATTGTTTTTATCTTTTTTACTGTTGTATCCATAGTGCCCCATAGAATACATAGCCCACAATAAACAATTAGCAAACATTTGCTGAGTGAGAAGGAATGAAGTATCAAGTGCCTACTATATGCCAAGCATTGTTCCAGCCACTTTATCTGTTATTTAATTTAAATGTTGTGTTAGTTAGGATTCTTCAGAGAAACAGAATGATAGAAGATAGATAGATGATAGATAGAAAGATGACAGATAGATAGATAGATAGATAGACAGATAGATAAAAAGATATTTACTACGAGAGACTGGATCATGCTATTATGAATGCTGAGGATTCCCACAGTCTGCTGTCTGCAAGCTGGAGGTCAAGAAAAGCCAGTAGTGCAATGCCACTCCACACCCAAAGACCTGAGATCCAGCCATGCCAATGATATTAATTTCCATTAATTAATAAGTCTGAGTTCAAAGACTTAAGAACCAGGAGGGCTAATGTCTGTGGCAGGAGAAGACGAACGTCCAGCTTAAGAAGAGAGAGTAAATTCATCCTTTCTTCACATTTGTGTTTTATTTAAACCCTCAATTGATTGGATAATGTCCACTCACACTGGGGACAGCAATCTTCTTTACTTAGTTTACCAAGAAAAATACTAATGTCTTCCAGAAACACTCTCACAGATATACTCAGAAATAATGTTCTGCCAGGTATTTTGGCATCCCTTAGCCCCCTCAAGTTTACACACACAATTAACCATCATAAATAGTAACGTCCAGATCTTTTAAAGCCTGATATATCTGCTCAGGACCTCCAAAAATCACACTTCAAGATGGGATTAGATGTGTAAGACACATATTGGTGAATACAATTGCAAAGGATGTAAAAGGTGGGAGCAGAAATAGGTGGGAGGAGCCCTGAGACAGTAACACAAGTCTGACATTTCTGATAGAAGAAAAGCAAGGAGAAGGACTGGTTAGGAAGACCTTCAGATGGAAGTGGAGTTCTGAGACATTATCAGTCAAGTCAGTGGGGAGTTTTTCATAGAAAAATCCCAGGTTGTACAGAAGAAGTCTGCCTCTAGTATCCCTTTCATGCTCAGTCATTGGCTAGGTGCAGTCTTGGAGAAATGGCTTTAATGAGAGTAGCATAGCAAATCCAGAGGTGCAGCAACTGGACACGACTAGTCAAATATGCTTTCTACAGCAGGTTTTTTCAGAGGACAATCTGAGTCGTGCTCTACTATGGCCACCACAGTCCACTTGTTTAGTCACAGAGATACACTTTCCATTGCATGTTTGGAAAATAACTTCTAAGTGACCTTCACGGACTTCTATTCAGTCAGAAGAGGGAGGTCAGTGGAAATGAACTACGTATCTCCCATCACATCACTGCAGTTAATTTCACAGTCACGAATGAAATTCTTGCTTTTTCTCTTCAACTGTACATTCAACAACTGTCATCTCTACAGATCTCATTGGCTTATCTGATGGTGTAAACCAAATATTTATTTTCTGAGGGTCTAAGCCTTTGCTATTCATATACTTCTTAGGCCAAGGCTGCCACAAGTGTTCATTCATTGATATAAATAAGCACTTGAGTACCAGAAAATACACAGTAGATTTACACACATATTCTTCCTAGTCTCCATTATGTAAAAATAGTCCTACTACTGCTTCCTATGAGGATCAATTACCTCTGCCAAGATGGAATTCAAAGTGGCCAGCAGCAGCCATAGCTTGTATTTTAATGTGTCGTATGGCAAGAGTAGAACCATGAACTCTAACTCCAAAGGACACAAATGTGTAAGAATAGAAGCGCAAGTCCTCCAGTGGGTCATCAGGAAGAACAATAAGTGATACTCGAATCCTCTATACATGTTTTATTCTTATTAAGGACACAGCACCATATACAAGGCTCTGAATCAATGCATATAGTGAATCCTAGAAGATGGCATCTCATCCACATAAAGTAATATCTCCACAGCATCACTTTATCTATCAGTTCAATGGAATTTTTTTTCTTTTCAAACCATAGAGTACAGTTAAGTGATAAGACAAATAGGTAACATGGTTCATTCCAGAGGGGACACCAAGTCAGATGTTTATGTTGTGTGGGAATTAAAGTCTGTGGATCAGGAAGTCTGTAATCTCTCAATGGTTGTCCTGCCTAAAGGTTTGCAGACAAGAAAGAAAACCCATACCCAGAACAGGAAACTCTCATGTGAGGATGAACGGTTGGCCTTTCCAAGACAGAAAGATCTCATTATCCATTTTATCTCAGTTGATGAATTTATCAGCCTAAAGTTGTTTGTAATATTTCTTTACTGTCATTTTAAGGTCTGTAGAGTCTGTGTCAATAACTGCTTTTTTATTTCTGATATTTGTCATTTATATGTGCTCTATATTCTTCTTGGCTAGGCAGGATACATATTTATTAATTTTATTAATCTTAACAATACAATTATGGTTTATTGACTTTATTGTTTTGTGTTTTCAATTTTATTGGTTATTGCTTTTATTATGCTTGCTTTCAGTAAAATGTGTCCTTTCTGATGACTTTAGAGACACATGCTTTTTTGAACTGTCTTCCAATACAGGCAGCTTTTAAGAACTTTTTTCTTATAGAAACATTGTATGCTGTAAGTTCCACTCTAAGCACTGCTTTAGCTATATGCCAAAAGTATTAATATGTTTTTATTGACATTTAACTCAAAATATTTTCTAATTCACCTTATGACTTCCTCCTTGACTCCTATGTTACTTGTGGATTTGTGCAATTTCCAAATATTTGATCATTTTTCACATATCTTTTTGTTATTGACTTCTAGTTAAATTCAGTTATAGTGAAAGTATACAGGTTATATAACTTCAATTCTTTTAAATTTGCTGAGGTCGGCTTCATGGCTTATGATATCTTGTTGGACATTTCTTGTGCACTTGAAAAAGCGTGTTCTCTGTGGCTAGGTAGAATGTCCCAAAGATCTCATTTGGGACGTGCTGCTTGATAGATAGTATTGTTGCTGTCTTACATACCTTTACTAATCAACGTCTACTAGTTCAATCAGTTGCTGAAATAAGGAATGTTGACCTCTCCAATTGTCACTATGAACCTATTTCTTCTTTAAGTTTTGTCAAGTTTTACTTCGTATATTTGGAAGCTGTATTGTGTAGTGCACACATATTTAGGATTGCTAATGTCTTTGTGGTGACGTGACCTCTTTATCCTTATGTAATGCCCCACTTTATTTGTGGCAATACCCCTTTTTTGAGGCCAATATTATTTGATATTCATAGAGCCACTCCAGCTTCCTTAAAATTAATATTAGCACAGTATATTTTTTTCAATTTTTTGACTTATAGCTGTCTAGGTCTCTACATTCAAATTAAATTTCTTAAAAATAGCATAGAAGTAGGCCTTTTAAAAAATATCCAGTCTAGCAATCTCTTATATTTCAAAAATTTGTTATGAGGTAATTTATTTTATTTTATAATTTTTAAAAATTTCAAAAGCATTAGGGGTACAGATATTTTTTGGATACATGGATAAATTGTTTAGTGGTGAAGTCTGGGGTATTAGCATGCCCCTCAGCTCAATAGTGTACATTGTACCCAGTAGGTAATTTTTCATTTCTTCCCATCCTCCTACCCTCTCCCCTTCTGATTCTCCAATGTCCCATATACCACTCTCTATATCTTTGCATACTCATAGCTCCCACTTATAAATGAGAACATGTAGTATTTGGTTTTCTGTTCCCGAATTATTTCACTCAGGATAATGTTTTCCAGTTCCATTCAAGTTAGCAATCTCTATTAATTGGCATGCATTACATTTAATGTAATTGTTGATTTGCTTGTATTAAAGTCTACCATCTTATTAGTTACTTTCTTGTTATTCCATCTATCCTTTCCTACATGATATGGCTTGGCTCTGTGTTTGCACCCAAATCTCATCTTGAATTGTACCCTCATAATTCCCATGTGTTGTTGGAGGGACCTGGTGGGAGATAACTGAATCACGGGGGCGGTTTCTCCCATACTGTTCTCGTGGTAGTGAATAAGTCTCACAATATCTAATGGTTTTATAAAGGGAAACCCCTTTCACTTGGCTCTCATTCTCTCTCTTGACACCGCCATGTAAGAAGTGCCTTTTGCCTTCTGCCAAGATTGTGAGGCCTCCCTAGCCACGTGGAACTGTAGGTCCATTAAACCTCTTTCTTCTGTAAATTGCCCAGTCTTGGGTATGTCTTTATCAGCAACGTGAAAACGGACTAATACACTACATATTTCCCTTTTCTTTCCTTTGTTCCAGATTATTTGAGAGCCTTGTATGATTTCATTTTAGCTCCACTATTGCCTTATTATTTATATTTTAAAAATATTACTTATGTTATTTACTTATATTTTCATAGTATTTATACTAATATTTATATTTAATTATTTATAGTACTTGGTTATTATTTATACCGCTTTTTAACTTTTATTGGTGGCTTTAGTGTTTAAATTATATATCTTTAACTACAGCCAATCTTCAAATAATATTATCTCTTCTCGTGTAGCTTAAGAATCTTATAATAGTATACTCTCAACTCTTCCCCTCATCTTTTGTCCAATAATTTCATATATTTTACTTTTGCATATGATAGAAATTCAGAACATATGGCAATTATTTTTTGTGCTTTAGACAGTCAGCTATCTTTTAAAACACTTAGAATAAGAAGCACTCTATTATATTTCCTTTTATTCAACCATTTATAGACTTCCTCATTACTTTGTATAGATTCAAGCTTCTTTTTTGTATTATACTCCTTTTGCCTAAATAACTTCCTTTAACATATCCTGTATTGCAAGTAATTAACTTTCTCAGTACTTAGATTAGAAAGGACCTTACTTCTTCATTTTAAGAGATACTTTTCTCTGTATATATGTTGAAAGTTTTTTTTCTTTCAGCACTTTAAAGTTGCCACTATTACTATTTGCATGTCTGACAAAATTTTGACTTTAATAATATTTTGTCCTCTTGTATGCAATATCTTTTTTATCTTTATATACTTCTAGCATTTTCTCTTTATCTTTGGTTTTCAACTGTTGGAGTAAGATGTAATGTGTCTAGTGTGTGTGTGTGTGTGTGTGTGTGTCTGTGTGTGTATGTTTATCCTGTTATCCTGCTTGGGGTTCTTTCAGCTCCTTTGATCTGTGTTTCGATGTCTCTCATTATTTTCTGAAAATTTTCTTCATTATTTTTGAACATCTCTGAGATTCCAATTTCACATGCATTAAAGTGTTGGATATTGTCCTAGAAGACTCAGATATTCTTTTTTAAAAAAACACTTTTTCTTTTCTCATTGTGATAAATTTAGGTAATTTTTATTAATCCAGTTTTAAGTTCATTGATTCTTGAGTCTCATAATGAGCCCATCAAAGGCAACCTTCATTTCTGTTACCATGTTTCTGTTTTTGTTTCCAGTGTTTTCACTTAACTCTTAAGGTTTTAATCCTTCCATTGAAATTCATCATCTGATCATGCACATTGTCCAGATTTACTTTTAAAGCCATTAAAATATTAGTGAATGGTTATTTTAAATTTTCTGATAGTTTTAATGTCTGGGTGAAATCTGACTCTAATTTTGTTGATTGATGTATCTGTTCATAGTAGATTGTTTATTCTTGCTTTACTGTGAATCTCATAGGTTTTATTAAATGCTAGATATTTCATAAAGGATAGCAGAGACTGAGGGAAATAGGATGATGGCTTCAAACTGGCAAACTTCTTCCTTTGGTAGGTCATGAATGTTGGAGGTTGAGTCAATCTCATCAGGAGTTAAGCTTGGTTTGAGTTTTGTTGTTGCTATTATTACCCTCAATGCACCGCTGGGCAGAAGTATCTAGATTGAACTTTGTAAGTGACAGTCCATGTTTGTTGGGCCCATTTATAGCCTTAATCTCTTTTATGATGGCCACCAGTCCTCACCTGCACTCCTTGCACCAGTTCCCAAGTGGCCATCAGTAAAATCAGGCTAATATCAAGTTGTTGAGTCATTGGTGTCTGGTTGGTCAATGCCTCTTTCATGGTGGATGGTCTCTGGTAGGTATTGATGAAGCAAAAACCTTCACACTTTTTGGTCCATCCTATGTGTCCGTTGACATATACTATTACAGGTTTCCTTTTCTTCAATCTTCTAGTCTTTTGACTTCCAAACCCTTAACTAGACAGCCAGGCCATTTGGCCAATGCCTCAAAATTTATTCATATTATCAGCTAAAGCCACTTCTTCCACACAATGTTGATTGCCAGATACATTAATCCAAACTCTACACATTGGGAAGATAACCTCTCTCCTTTTCTCTCTCTCTCTTTTTTTTTTTTTTTTTTTTTTTTTTTTTTTTTTTTGAGACAGGATCTTGCTCTGTAACCCAGGCTGGAGCACAGTGACACAA
This sequence comes from Homo sapiens, assembly GCF_000001405.40. NCBI lineage: Eukaryota > Metazoa > Chordata > Mammalia > Primates > Hominidae > Homo > Homo sapiens. The sequence continues at coordinate 146,504,664 of NC_000023.11, read as the reverse complement.
TCTTGGTTCACTACAATCTCCACCTCCTGGGCTTAAGTAATCTTCCCACCTCAGACTCCTGAGCAGCTGCGACTACAGGCCCATGCCACAACACTTGGCTAATTTTTAAACTTTTTATATGGATGATGTCTCACTATATTACCCAGGCTGGTTGCAAACTCCAGGCTCAAGCGATCCTCCCATCTCAGCCCTGCAAAGTGCTGGGATTGCAGGCATGAGCTATCATGCCCAGCCCCCTTTCTCCTTATTTTAAGGCCACCTCTGAATGTGGCTGTAATGCAACCACCATCACCTTTGGGCTTGCACCCAAAAACTAAGCTGATACATTTGTAACACGGCTTGGGCTTTTTCCCTTCTTTATCAGTTAAACATAGAAAAACCCCATATGGCCATAGGTGTGCAATAAATGTGGAAACCTGAAACAACTATGACAGGTGGTGTGAGGGGCTGAGCTATCTGCTGATCTCCTCTCTTCCTGTTTTTATTTGAATCCTGGAATGACAGCTATAATCAAGACTATTATTTGATTTATCTTGCAGTAGACTACAGTCATTTTCCTGTATCTATCTGGTTTCTTCAAGGCCCAGAATACCAAATTAGGCAGAGATGATAGGGACCACAATATTTTTCACCATCTTTTTATCTCCCCAAGGGTGCACTATTTTTTTTTCTTTCTGTTTTTAATGTATTATCTTGGCTTGAGGGTAAAGGGTGAAGTTTTGAGATGTTCAGTTGGTATTCCGCTCTCTGATACCTCTTAACAAACCAAGCACGCCATGTGGGTGTCACTCTAACTTCCAGGAGTGCACACCAAAATTATACACTTGAGAACTGGAGAAGTAAACACTGACTGGCTCTGAAGACCCAGTGGACCCACTCTAATTCAGATATTAGTCAGTTCTTCATTCATCACCTGCATTATAAGCTCTCACTCTAGTAGGGGAACTATGGTGACTCTTTGTGTCTCCAGATATCAGTGTCTACTTAGATTCTTTGATCAATAGTTCACAAAGTGTCTGAGTATTTCCCTTTTATCAGTGTAAAGTAATTCACATAAATGGTCATCAGCATCCTGCTCTGGCATTCTTGCTTTTCTTTCTGGTTGTAGATGTTAAGCAGCACCCTCGTTGTCTGCCTTCTATTTTTCCCCTAGTTATATCAGGCTCAAGTAACAATATCTGTATCTCCCTGCACGACAAGCCCTTTTAAGTGCTACTCCAAACTAGCTGGTCATTGTGGTGTTTGTATCATTCTGGCTTCTGGCCTTTGTTACTTGGGGACCTCATCATCCTCCTGAATATATATATACTTCTAAAAGAAGCATACGTCGCTGACCGCCTCTATAACAATCAACCATGGCCTACAGAAAAGGGTCAACACTTAACTAGGCGACGCTGGTGGCCTCTCACAAACACATTTCTATTTCTATGTGTCATCTGGGCCATCTTGTGAAACATAATACTCAGGAAGACCTTCTGGTATCATACATTAATCTATTCTAGCTCACTTCCCCAAGCGTTTTTAATTCCTTAATCTCTCATCTGCTGGAGAAACTCAGAAATTTCCACTTCATTCTGCATGTGCCATTTTTTTTTACTCCTGGTCTCTAATGAGCCATTCTAACAGCAACTTTGCTCCATCCACTGAGGTCCTTGCAAGAGTATTAAATTCCATATTCTGAAAAAAATGCCTCCAAGATAATGAGTTCTTACTTATCTGTATCCCTTGATCAAGCACTTTCAAAATTGAGTCCCAAGGGTAATTTATTGGCTCCTGGTCAGTACATGCTAGTGTTATGGAATGAATGTTTGTGTTACCCACTAAATTCACAAGGTGAAATTCCAACAACTCGATATGATGATATCAAAAGGTAGGGCTTTGGGAGATAATTATGTCATGAGGGTAGAACCCTCCTGAATAGGATTAGCGTCCTCATAAGAAGAAACACAAGAGCTTGCCTCTCACTCTCTGCCTTCTCCAATATGAGGACACAGCAAAAAGACAGCCATATGCAAACAAAGAAGAAGACCCTTAGCAGACACCAGATCTGATGGTGCTTTGATCTTCAACTTCCCAGCCTCCAGAACTATGAGAAATAAATATCTGTTGTTTAAACCACCCAGACAATGGCAATTAGTTATAGCAGCCTGAACTGACTAAGACAGCTAGCTACTTCTTGGAGCTCCTTTAGGGTGTAAACCATTTTCTCCATTATCAGGCTCAAAACTCCCCTACCTGGGTTTTGTGGGAACTTAATCCTAGTTGTTGGTCTGACAACCAAGAAGGCAGGTGGTCACTACTCCTGAGGGGATTACCTGTTACCTTTTCTGAAAGAGGCCTCTTCATTGTCTTCCCACATCTAAGGGGGACGCCAGGTCATATGAGGGAGTGCTGAGCAACTTCTGCATGCTCTTAATATTCCAGGACGTCTCCAGAGGCAAAAATCTTAGGGCCATACACCCAGTTAACCCCATCTCATATTTCAGCTTCTTAAGTTGTTCTCCCCAGGACACTGAAGTTAGCATAACAGACTAGCCATCGACAAACATTATTAAAACATCTTTGGAGCTCTCAACCTTTAAATCCTGAGTATCTTCAGCTGTGTTTACCCTTCCACTGTTGGAAAGGGCTTCTTTGTAAGCTATCAGAAACGTTCGCTAACTCACACACTTAGCCCTTAACTATTTCGTAACCACTATCAATTTTTTCAAAATCCTTCTACAGGGTAGCATTACCCTGTAGTTATAACCAGCCAACAGTACTGTTCCTATAGACATTTTTTCCCTACCCATCAAACTTTTCAAATGCCTGAATATTCACTCCAGCAAGTACATTCTTCTTTACCAAAACATTCTTTCAGTTCATCACTGGAAAAATCTTCAGCAACTGTGCTGTAATGGTGTGCCAGGGATTATTATTACTTCTCATTTTACTTAGAAAGGGGTCATTCTTTCCAGCCAGGCAGGGAGTGAGCCAGTCCTGAAACCCATCTTACCATCTTCTTCTTTTTCTTAGATTTCTTCTGCCATGCTCGATGTCAATTTGGAACTTCCAAGAAGCAGATGTTGAGATGGGATAAGACATGCAAGAGATATATTGATAAAGGGGGAAGGAACAAGAGTAGGTAGGGAAGGACTTTTGATTATGATACAGTTTTCTGACGGCAGCATACTACTGAGAAACTCTCAGGCTGACCAATGAGGGGGCCCCACACAAAAGTAGCTTGTGAGAGGAGTCCTGCATCAAGCAGAGACAGACTGGCTCTGGTACCCTTGTTGGATCAACACTTAACTGGGAGCTGCCTCCAGGGGAAATGCGGCCTTGAAGCAAGCGCCACAGTGAATCCCAAGATGCAGCAGCTGGAAGCTGCCAGTCTACTGTGTTCCCTGCAGCACGTTCTCTTTAAGGGTGATCTGAGCAGTGCACCTCCATGGCTGTCACACCTGGAAAATGCATAATACTGTTTCCCAGGAAGCTTCCAGATACTGCACAGATGAATCTATTTTAAGTTTGTTCTCCAAGTGGAAAAGCCTTCTCTTTCAAAATTATGCTTTAAATTTTTAATCACGAAGAGAGAAATCACTTACTGCATGAACTCCAATCCAGAGCATTCAGATTAGAAAGCAGAAAATTGCTGAATCAGTCCTTGGAATAATAGGTGAAGGCCGGGAACATTATCTTCACTAATAAAGGGAATGACGTAAGCAATGGCTATCCCATTGCAGATCAGTCCGGATCACAATGACCAAGAATAGTTTGGGAAGCCAAAAGTAAGATCAAGACCATGCCAGAATTATTCTCTTGGCAATAAGATTTTAAGATTATCACACAAACTTTTTATAGAGCGATGAGACACTGCCCCAGAATAAGTCCAGCCTGGGTGCTTGTAGGATACTTGGAGACAGTGAGTGACCACAAGTGGCTTGGGTAAAAAAACAAAGCAACACAGACAGAAAGCAGTTGCTGACATTTATTTATTTATTTTTTTATAGTCGCCACTTTTTTGCAATCTTTCTGGACACTAACAACATGGCCTCGTCAATGAGCTATACTCACCTACAAATCCCCGTAGACATGCTGGACAGGGAAGACAACCTATCATAGGGCTTCTGTCTCAAGACAGGTCCTTAATTCATTTACTCAGCACATATTTACTAAATATCAATTATTTGCTATACCCTGTGACGGTCACTGGGAATGCACGCTCCTGACCTCAAGGAGATAAACAGAATTTGCAGTTGGTAGAGACTGGCTCTACGGTATATGTATGTGTGATTAGCTCTCAGAATTTCTCTGTCGCATTGATACAAGTAAAATTTGCTTTTTTTTTTTGTTTTTTCAAGACTACAAAATGAAGTAATGAGTTTGAAAATATTTGGAGACTATGGAATTCCATACATATTTGAGGAGTAAATATTATTTCTATGACAACACTTTTTAGAAAATGTTATGCTCCTTTTACCAGAGCTCTGGAAGATAGACAGTCCAACTCTTTGCGTGGCCTTTACGGAACTAAACATTCTCTCATTAGTGAAAATAATTTTAACACATTAACCATTGCTGAATTATTAATTCTATAAATATTTTGGACTATTGTTTTGTTTCTAAACCCTTTTGGGTATATGAAATATAATGTGCACAGTCTTGACTAATTCAGACAAAAGAACAATTTGACAGCCTGAATATTTTCCTTCTTGAATTGGTGGCTTTGGAAAAAGAGAATTTTAATAAAACTTCATTAAAAACACAAAATCAATACTTGTGTGCATTTTCTGGCTGTGAAATGTTAACAAGTAGCGTTTCTGAATATACACACACACACACACACTGTCATGAGAGCAGTGTAGGATAGTCAGGGGATGGGAAATGAGAACAAAGTCACAGTGAACTCTCTAGATGGAATTGCAATGAAAGGGCCTAAACATATTGGAGGATTAGTTCAGTCCAAGATTTGATAGTTTTATAGGAGAAAATTCTGTAATATGAATATTTAGGCATGTTGTGATATTTACTGACTCCATATTTTCTTCTGAAAAATATTTGAGAAGGAAATAACATTTATGAGGACATGAAATAAGTATAATATGGTAATACAGAAGTAGGGATTTCTACTGGTAAGGAGTATCCTTATTCATTAGCATATATACACTTTGGAAAGATGGGTGTGAAACATTCCTTTAGATTATGGGATTCTTTAGCTCTCATTCTTCCTGCTAGAGGTTCCACTTCTAATTTATACAGTCACTTATCTTGGTCACAGCATGAGGTCTTACAGCTGAGCAAGTAGCTTTGGCAAAAAGTCTAATGTACTAATGTTGAGGCGGGAAAATGGGAATTTAGTTGGCTGGAGGCCTGGGTATCTCAAGGGCATCTAATATGAAATCAGTCAGTTTTCAGTACTTATGTAAATGTTAGTAACTTCCTGCCTCTGTTTCTCAATGGGACAGGAGAATTTTGGCTGCCTGTGGACTTGTCATAGCAACAAAGAACAATTTCATTCATTTTGCCTAGGAATAGCTTCTCATGTATGTTTGTACAGAATGATAGAAGATCATGGAAGTGAATATTGGTTTGAGAGTTTGGGGGATTACAAAAAGAGAGCACAGCTGTGATTCTTCAGTGGCTAGCTTAATAGAGGGAGACATTTAAGAGGAGTGGAGAAAACAGCTGGAATGGAAGCATCAGCAGGAAGAGCAAGAAAGGTGAAGCTTAAGATCCTGAGAACCAAAACACACAAGCTCCCCTGTAGCTCTCTGCTGTTGAATAGGCTTTCACCAGAGGCCATCCAGAAAAGATTTTAACCTATTATACATCCCCTTATGGCAGAGTGACAAACTAATGGCAATGGGGAAGGAATTGGGGGAAGCTGTGGAAACCACAGACATGGAGTTTGAACAGAAGCAATATTCTGACTCTCCTTAGGAAGCTTTGGCCAATGCATCCCACCTCTCTTAGCATAATACGTAGCCATGGATAGTAAAATTCCTCCAACTGTGGAAAAAAAAGAGCACAATAGAGCTGAGAGAGAAGGGAGGAGAGAGAGGCCAGTGTGAAATCCTTTTTAAGGTGATAGTAATAGGTAGAAGATATTTTGCAGAATATTTTGGAAGAGAGAGACATATCTTACGGTCTATGTAATTAATGACAAAACACCTGGATTATGAAAGCACAGACATGAAATCTTTGAGTAATTGAGATAATTGTCAGTCATAAATACAACAGCCATGATACATAGATGCAACCAATGTAGATGGAGAACATGAACAAAAGGGAAGCTAATTCAAAATTATTTCCTGACATAAAAACTCTGCCTTACTTACGCATTCAATTACTATACGTAAGTTCTATTTTCATGATATGGGTTCAAAAACTCACATTTTAAATTTTTTTTATTTTTAATATTTGTGGGTACAGAGTAGTTGTATATGTTTACGGGATACATAAGAAATTTTGGTACTGCACAAAGTGCATAACAATTGCTTCGTGGAAAATTGTGTATCTATCCCCTCAAGCATTTATCCTCTGTGTTGCAACAATCCAATTATACTCTTTTAGTTATTTTTAAAGGTACAATTATGATTGACTTTAGTCCCCCTATTGTGTAATGAAATACTAAGTCTCATTCATTCTATTTTTTGTACAAACTAAGCCCCCCCACCTCCCCCCAACCCCCCAAAACCCTTCCCAGACTTATAACCATCCTTCTATTTTCTATCTCCGTGAATTCAATTGTTTTGATTTTTAGATCCACAAATAAGTGAGAACATGTGATGTTTGTTTCTGTGCCTGGCTTATTTCACTTAGCAAAATGACCTCCAGTTCTATCCATGTTGTTGCAAATGACAGGATCTCATTCTTTTTTGTGGCTGGATAGTACTCCATTGTGTCTATGTATCACATTTTCTTTATCCATTCTTCTGTTGAGGGAAGCACTTAGGTTAATTCCAAATCTTAGTTATTATGAATAGTGCTGCAATAAACATGGGAGTATAGATCTCCCTTCGATGTCCTGATTTCTTTCTTTTGAGTATATACCCAGCAGCGGGATTACTGGATCCTACGGTAGCTCTATTCTTTGTATTTTGAGGAACTTCCAAACTTTTCTCAATAGTAGTTGTATTAATTTACATTCCCACTGACAGTGTAAGACGGTTTCCTTTTCTCCACATCCTCGCCAGCATCTGTTATTGCCTGTCTTTTGAATATAAGTCATTTTAATTTGAGTGACATGATATTCATTGCAGTTTTATTTTCATTTCTCTGATTATCAGTGATGTTGATTACATTTTCATATTCCTGTTTGTCATCTGTATGCCTTCTTGTGAGAAATGTCTATTCAAATCTTTTGCCCATTTTTTGATGGGATCATTAGATTTTTTTCTACACAGTTTTTTGAGCTTCTTATATATTCTTGTTATTAATTCCTTGTCAGATAGGTATTTTGCAACTATTTTCTCCCATTATGGGGGTTTTCTCTTCTCTTTGTTGATTGTTTCCTTTGCGGTTCAGAAGCTTTTTAACTTGATGTGATTCCATTTGTCCATTTTTGCTTTCATTTCCTGTGTTTGTGGTGTTTTACTCAAGACATATTTGCCCACATGTCCTGGACAGTTTCCCCAAAGTCTTCTTTCAGTAGTTTCATAATTTGAGGTCTTCAAGTCTTTAATCCATTTTGACTTGATTTTTGTGTATGATGAGAGATAGGGGTCTAGTTTTATTCTTCCGCACATGGATATCGAGTTTTTCCAGCACCATATACTGAAGAGACTGTTTTTCCCCAATGTATGTTCTTGGCACCTTTGTTGTAAATGAATTCACTGTAGGTGTATAGATTTATTACGGGGTTCTCAATTCTGTTCTATTAGTCTATTTGACTGTTTTTATGCCAGTACCATGTTGTTTTGGTAAATATTGCTCTGTAGTATAATTTGAAACCAGGTAATGTAATTCTTCTAGTTTTGTTCATTTTGCTTGGGATAGCTTTGGGTACTCTAGGTCTTTTGTGATTCCATATAAATTTTAGAATTGTTTTTTCTATTTCTGTGAAGAACGTAATTGGTATTTTAATAGAGATTGCACTGAATCTGTAGACTGCCTTTGATAGTATGGACAATTTAAAAATACTGATTTTTTAAATCTATGAACATGGAATATTTTTCCATTTTTTTGGTGTCCTTTTCCATTTCTTTCATCAATGTCTTATAGTTTTCACTGTAGAGATCTATCACTTCTTTGGATAAGTTAATTCCTAGGTATTTAATTTTATTTGTGGCTATGGTAAATAAGATTGCTGTTTTTATTTCTTCTTGAGGGTTTTTTCACCATTTCGCATATAGGAAGGCTACTGATTTGGGTTATGTTGATGTTATATCCCTCTATTTCACTGAATTTTTAAATCAGTTCTAATAGCATTTTGGTGGAGTCTTTAGGTTTTTCCAAATATAAGATCATATCATCTGCAAACAAAAATAATTTGACTTCTTTCTTTCCAATTTGGATATCTTTTATTTTTTTCTCTTGTCTAATTGCTCTAGCTAAGACTTTCAGTGCTATATGAAATAACAGGGGTGAAAGTAGGCATCCTTGTTGTGTTACAGATCTTAGAGGAAAAGCTTTCAGTTTTCCCCCATTCAGTACGATACTAGTTGTGTATCTGTAATATAAGGCTTTTATTATGTTGAGGAATACTGCTTCTATACCCAGTTTTTTGAGGGTTTTTATTTTGAAAGTATGCTGAACTTTATCAAATGCTTTTTCAGCATCAGTTGAAATGATCATATGGTTTTGTCCTTCCTTCTGTTGATATAAGGTGTCATAATGATCGATTTGCATATGTTGAACCAACCTTGCATCCCAGGGGTAAATCCCACTTAGTATCATGGTGTATGATCTTTTTAATGTATTATTAAATTCAGTTTTCTACTGTGCTATTGAGGATTTCTGCCTCAATGTTCATCAGAGATATTGGCCTGTAGTTTTATTTTTATTTGTATTTTTTCAAAGTCAGGGTAATACTGGCCTTGTAGAATGATTTTAGAACTATTCCCTCCTCCATTATTATTATTTTTTTTTTGAGACAGAGTTTTGCTCTTATTGCCCAGGCTGAAGTGCAATGGCACGATCTTGGCTCACTGCAACCTCTGCCTCCTGGGTTCAAGTGATCCTCCTGCCTCAGCATGCCAAGTAGCTGGGATTACAGGCGTGCACCACCATGCCCAGCTAATTTTGTATTTTTAGTAGAGATGGGGTTTCTCCATGTTGGTCAGGCTGTTCTTGAACTCCTGACCTCAGGTGATCTGCCCGCCTTGGCCTCCTAAAGTGCTGGGATTACAGGTGTGACCCACCGTGCCCAGCCACATCCACTATTTTTTACAACATTTTGAGTAACATTGGTATTAGTTCCTTAAGTGTTTGGTAGAATTGTGCAGTGAAGCCTTTGGGTCCCACGGTTTTCTTTGCTGGCAGATTTTTAGATTATGGCTTTGAACTTGTTACTTGTTATTGGTCTCTTCAGGTTTTTTATTTCTTCCTGTTTCAATCTTGGTAGATTTTGTCTATGAATTCGTCAACATATTCTGGATTTTTCATTTTATTGGCATATAGTTGCTCACAGTAGCCACTAGTGATCTTTGAATTATTGTGGTATCAGTCGTAATGTATCATTTTTCATCTCTGATTTTATTTATTTGGGTTCTCTTACTTTTTTTCTTAGTCTGGCTAAAGTTTTGTCAATTTTGTTTAAAATTTCAAAATACCAACTTTATGTTTCCTTGATATTTTATATTTTCTTCATTTCAAATTAATTTATTTATGCTCTGATATTTAATATTTATTTTCTTCTCCTGATTTGGAGTTTTATTTGTTCTTGTTTTTCTACATCTTTAAGACACATTGTTAATTTATTTATTTGCAGTTTGTATTAGCCCATTTTCATGCTGCTGACAAAGACATACCCGAGACTGGGAAGAAAAAGAGGTTTAATTGGACTGAGAGTTCCATGTGGCTGGGGAGGCCTCAGAATCATGGCAGGAAGCAAAAGGCACTTCTTACATGGCAGCAGGAAGAGAAAAATGTGGAGGAAGCAAAAGTGGAAACCCCTGATAAACCCATCAGATCTCATGAGACTTATTCACTATCATGGGAATAGCACAGGAAAGACTGGCCCCCATGATTCAATTACCTCCCCCTGGGTCCCTCCCACAACACCTGAGAATTCTGAGAGATACAATTCAAGTTGAGATTTGGGTGGGGACACAGCCAAACCATATCATTCCACCCCTGGCCTCTCCAAATCTAATGTCCTCACATTTCAAAACCTATCATGCTTTCCCAACAGTCCCCCAAAGTCTTAACTCATTTCAGCATTAACCCAAAAATCCACAGTCCAAAGTCTCATCTGAGACAAGCAAGTCCCTTCCACCTATGAGCCTGTAAAATCAAAAGCAAACTAGTTTCTTCCTAGATACAATGAGGGTACAGGTATTGGGTAAATACAACCATTCCAAATGGGAGAAACTGGCCAAAACAAAAGGGTTACGGGGCCCACGCAAGTCCAAAATTCAGTGGGGCCGTCAAATTTTGAAGCTCAAAAATGATCTCCTTTGACTACGGGTCTCGTATCCATGTCATGCTGATGCAAAAGGTGGGTTCACATGGTCTTGTGCAGCTCCACGCCTCTGGCTTTGCAGGGTCCCGCCTCCTTCCTGGCTGCTTTTATGGGCTGTCATTGAGTGTCTGTGGCTTTTCCAGGCACATGGTGCAAGCTGCCAGTGGATCTACCATTCTGAGTTCTGGAGGACGGTGGACCTCTTCTCACAGCTCCACTAGACAGTGCCCCAGTAGGGACTGTGTGTGGGGGCTCCAACCTCACGTACATTTTCCTTCTGCGCTGGCCTAGAAGACGTTCTCCATGAGCCACTCTGCCCTTGCAGCAAACTTTTGCCTGGGCATCCAGGCATTTCCATACATCTTCTGAAATCAAGGCAGAGGTTTCCAAACCTCAATTATTGACTTCTGTGCACCTGAAGGCTCAACACCACACGGAATCTGCCAAGGCTTGGAACTTCCACTTTCTGAAGCCACAGCTCGAGCTCCACATTGGTCCCCTTCAGCCACAGCTTTAGTGGCTGGAACCCAGGGTACCAAGTCCCTAGCCTGCACACAGCATGGGGACCCTGGGCCTGGCCCATGAAACCACTTTTTCTTCCTGGGCCTCTGGACCTGTGATGGGAGGAGCTGCTGTGAAAGTCTCTGGCATGGCCTGGAGACATTTTTCCCATGGTCTTGAGGATTAACATTAGGCTCTTTGCTACTTATGTGAATTTCTGCAGTCAGCTTGAATTTCTCCTCAAACAATGGGTTTTCCTTTTCTTTCTTTCTTTCTTTTTTTTTTTTCTTAGACGGAGTCTCGCTCTGTCACCAGGCTGGGGTGCAGCGGCACGATCTTGGCTCACTGCAGTCTCTGCCTCCCGGGTTCAAGCAATTCTCCTGCCTCAGCCTCCCGAGTAGCTGGGACTACAGGCACACACCACCACACCTGACTAATTTTTTTTTGTATTTTTACTAGAGATGGGGTTTCACCATGTTGGCCAGGACGGTCTTGATCTTCTGACTTCGTGATCTGCCCGCCTCGGCATCCCAAAGTGCTGGGATTACAGACGTAAGCCACTGCGTCTGGTCAGGGTTTTTCTTTTCTACTGCGTTATCAGGCTGCAAATTTTCTGAACTTTTATGCTCTGTTTCCTTTTTAAAATGGAATCCTTTTAACAGCAACCAATTCAGATTTTGAATGCTTTGCTGCTTAGAAATTTATTGCGCCAGATACCCTAAACTATCTCTCTCAAGTTCAAAGTTCCACAAATCTCCAGGGCAGGGGCAAAATGCCCCCAGTCTGTTTGCTAAAACATAACAAGAGTCACCTTTGCTCCAGTGCCCAACAAGTTCCTCATCTCCATCTGAGACCACCTCAGCCTGGAACTTTACTGTTGATCACTATCAGCATTTTTGTCATAGCCATTCAACAAGTCTCTAGGAGGTTTCAAACTTTCCCACATTTTCCCGTCTTCTTCTGAGTGCTCCAAAGTGTTCCAGCCTCTCCTGTTACCCAGTTCCAAAGTTGGTTTCACATTTTCAGGTATCTTTTCAGCAACACCCCACTCTACTGGTACCAATTTACTCTATTAGTCTATTTTCATGTTGCTGATAAAGACATACCCGAGACTGGGAAAGAAAAGAAGTTTAATTGGACTTACAGTTCCACATGGCTGGGGAGGCCTCAGAATCACGGTGGGAGGTGAAAGGCACTTCTTACATGGTGGCCTCAAGAGAAAAATGAGAAAGAAGCAAAAGCAGAAACCCCTGATAAACTCATTAGATCTTGTGAGACTTATTCACTATCACGAGAATAGCACAGGAAAGACTAGACCCCATGATTCAATTATCTCTCCCTGGGTCCCTCCTACAACACGTGGGTATTCTGGGAGATACAATTCAAATTGAGATTTGGGTGGGGACATAGTCAAACCACATCACAATTTTTCTTCTTTTTTTTATGTAGGAACTTACAGCTATAAATTCCAGTCAGTGTTGCTTTTACTGTATTCCATAGGTTTTGGTCTGTTGTGTTTTCATTATTATTTGTTTCAATAAATTTTTCAATTTTCTTAATTTCTTTATTGACCCACTGGTCATTCAGGAGCATATTGTTTAATTTCCATGTGTTTGTATAGTTTCCAAAATTCCACTCATTATTGATTTCTTGTTTTATTCCATTGTGGTCAGAGAAGATGCTTGATATTAATTTGATGTTTGAATGTTTTAAGACTTGTTTTGTGACCTACCATATGGAATATGTTTGAGAATCATTCATGTGCTAATGAACATAATGTTTATTCTGCAGCCATTGGATGAATTTTTGTGTAAATATCCATTCAATTCATTTATTTTATAGTGCAGATCAAATCCAAAGTTTCTTTTCTGATTTTCTTTCTGGGACATCTGTACAATGCTAGAAGTGGGATGTTGAACTCTCCAGATATTACTGTTTTGGGGTTTATCTCTTTCTTATTCTCTAATAATACTTGCTTTAAATATCTGGGTTCTCCAGTGTTGGGTGCATATATATTTACAATTGTTACATCCTTTTGCTAAATTGACCCCTTTATCATTATATAATGATCTTCTTTGTATCTTCTTATAGTTTTGTCTTAAAATCTATTTTGTATGATACAAGTGTAACTACTCCTGCTCTTTTTTGGTTTCCCTTGCCATAGCATATCTTTTTCCATTCTTTCATTTTCAATCTGTGTGTACCTTTATAGGTGAAATGTGTTTCTGATAGGCAACAGATCACTGGGTCTTGTTTTTTCATTCATTCAGTCACTCTATGTCTTTAGATTGGAGAGTTTGGTTCATTTGAATTTAATGTTATTATTGATAAGTAGCAACTTACTCCTGCCATTTTTTAATTCGAGTTTTGGTAGTTTGGCAGTCTTTTTTTTTTCTTCTTTCTTTTCTTGCTGTCTTTATTTAAGTGAAGATGTTTTTCTCTGATGGTCTGCTTTAATTGCTTTTTTGTGTGGATATCTTCTCATGTGTGTGTGTGTGTGTGTGTGTGTGTGTGTGTGTGTATCTGGGGTTACTATAAGGCTTGCAAATACCATGTTCTAATGCATTATTTTTAATTGATGACAATTTAACACTTACTGCATGCAAAAACTAACAAGCAAACACACAAAAAGCCCAATGACTCTTCTGTCAGTTTGTGGTAAATACTGCCTGGCCTTGGACTCATTCTTCAGGGCAGTGTGCTCTACTCTGACCGAAGGCAGGATTAGAAATGGTATCTATGTGGGTAGGCCTGGACTGAGGTTCCCCCAACACCTAATTTTTGCTCTACGCTACTGTGGCTGAGCTGGTACCTAAAGTTTAAGGCAAAGTCCTCTTTAGTTTCCCCTGTGTCTTCTCATGCAGAAGAAGTCTTTCACTCTAGCCACCACAGCTGGGAATGTGCTGCATCACCCAAAAGCCAGCATGTCTCAGAGCCCAAGGCCCACAGCACTCCCTGGATATTGCTCCTGGTTATTCAAGGCCAAAGAGCTCTTTATTCAGGAGTTGATCAATTCTGCCAGAACTGGGCTCTTGCTTTCAAGGCGGTGTGTTCCCTTTTAGCCCAGGAGATATCTAGAAATGTTATCTTGGGGATAGGACCTGGAAAGGGTACCTCACATCTCTGCCTGGTACCCTATCCTACTATGGCTAAGCTGGTATCCAAGATGCAAAACAAAATCCTCTTTACTCTGTTCTCCTCTACTAAAGCAGAAGGAAAGAGTCACCTTTGTTACTGTGAGCTGCACTGCCTGGGGTTGGAGGAGGGAGGGCAAGAGCACTCCCATAGCCATGCCAGCTGGTGTCTCCCTAGGTCATGTGCCACTCTAGTACACTGGCTCTAAGCCCAGCCTAGTACTAGGAATTGCCTAGGAATTGCAGTTCTTGTGTGCTAGACTGCCTTCCAAGTTTACCTAGGACCCCAGAGCACTTCAGTGTGCGGTGGCAAGGTTTGCCTAGAAACTCAAGTTCTGACCACTAGGATGGGCAATTTCCTTCTGGCTAGGGCTGGTACAAACTCCCCCTCAATGTCCAGGCATTGACTAAGCCCAGCATAACTTTATTCACCAGTGTGACAGGGCAGCACTGAGTTCAGTGTAAATTCCCTCAGTCACTGTACTCTCCCTCCCCAAAGTGCACAGCTGCTGCCAGGGGAGGATACAGAAAGGCTGGTATTGGCGATTCAAGACTGTCTGTCCTGCTATCTTCAGTGCCTCTTTCTGTGATATGAATGTAAATCCAGGTACTGTGATTGCTCACCTGATTTTTGGTTCTTGTGATGGTGCATTTGTGTGTGCAGATAGTTGTTAAAATTTGGTGTTCCAGTGGTGGGGGGATGAACGCTGTCGGCTTCTATTCTGCCATCTTGCTCAGCCTTCCTGTGTTCACAGCATTTCTTTCACTAGGTTTTGGGCCAAATATATCGAAATTTTTGAAACCTAAAATTAATATGATAGTTGATTTTTTCTAAGAAACCAGTATTAGTTCAAATTACAATTAAAAACTCTTACAATTGATTGCATCTTGGAATTTATATGGCATAAAGGGTTAGGCTGACAGTACGTCATCTACCCACAGCTCTGTGTTGTAAAAGTTTTTTTTTTTTTTTTTTTCCTGACAGGCACAACCTAGGATATTGGAACTTCCTTCCCTTACATATTCCCCATTTGTAGAGTGGAAGAATTAACTCCATGTGAGACAGGCTGAAAACACTGGGACCCAATAGTCTCTGTTCAAGCTTGTTCATAAGGAAACATTCCAAAATAGAAGGGACAAGTTAAAAATAAAAGGACCTACTGTCACAGTTAAGTTTACCCACTCATAGAACTGCAGAATTACATTCCAAGAGAAGAATTTCATTGTAATTGTATCCATCTCAGGTACAGTGGCACAGAAGTTTTGTTCAGGTGGAGAGGCAGGGCCACAAGAACACACAAGTCTACAACTCTGGCTAAATAGACTGACTTTATTTGAAACAGACTGTGGGAGGTTTTGTAGGTGAGAGAATTACAGGAAAGCAGTGGAGATCTTGGTATTGAGCAACAAACAGCAAATAAAAGTGTAGTTCAGCTAGAATTTTAACAGAGATAACGAGAAAAAGAATCTAAGATAAGCCCTCCTGGAGTCAGAGCAAGACTCAAAGACCAAAAATATCCTCCTCTAAAAAGTAGACCAACTTCAATTTCATCAGGCCATGGAACAATTTTTGCCTCAGAGATTCGTGAAAAACAATATAGCAATCAGTTAGCAATTAGTGGAGGCTAACAGCTGGCCATGATACTAATAAAAGCAAACGAGCTTGATGGAGATATCAGATAAAGAGAAAGAGGAAGCCGGGCTAAAACCAGTCACTGTTTATTGTTAAGGTGACTGTATATATGTTGATATGGTTTCACTCTGTGTTTCCACCTATATCTCACCTTGCATTGTAATAATCCCCAGATGTCAAGGGTGGGACAAGGTGGAGATAATTGAATCATGGGGGCAGTTTCTCCCATGCTGTTCTCATGAAAGTGAGTTCTCACGAGATCTGATGGTTTTATAAGGGGCTTTCCCCTCTGCTCGGCACTCATTCCCTCTCCTGTCACCCTGTGAAGGGATGCCTTCTGTCATGATTGTAACTTTCCTAAGGCCTTTTCAGCTATGCAGAACTGTGAGTCAATTAAACCTCTTTTCTTTATAAAGTACCCAGTCTTGGGTATTTCTTCATATCAGCATGAGAACAAACTAATGCACATGTCTATGGCTGCTCTTCATGATGAGCAAAGTCAGAGGTTGTATACTTTGGGTGAAATAAATTTTACACAACTAATCCAGCTAAGGTGCAAAAACAAAAAGAAAAGTAAACAAGCAAACAACAAAAGTAAGCATTGAGAAATGAGGCGATCCACCATCTAGAGATGCTAAAATATATTATCTTAAATTTCCACTGATTAAATAAAAGATTGCAAAATATCTATAAGTGTGAAGTATGCAAACACGAAACAACAACAAAAAAACCCAGGAACTGACAATTTGAAGCTTTTGAGGATAAACAAATGTTGGACTTCAAAGCAGCTATTTAAAATATGTTCAAAGAATTAAAGGAAACCATTTTTAGAGACTTAAGTGAAGGTATAATGACAATGCCCCATCAAAATATTAATATAAGTACAGATATAAAAATTATAACTTAAAGAACCAAATGGAAGTTCTGATGTCAGAAATCTCTCAGATCAATATCCTGATTGAAATAAAACATCCAGTACAAAGCAACAATACTAGATTTGAAGTGGCAGAAAAAACAATTAACCAATTTGAATATACATTAAAAGAAATTCTGTAATCTGATAAACAGAAAAATAATGAAGTATTTCTTCAGAAAAATTTGAGGCACAATTAAGAACACCAAGAAATATGTAATTGGAATAGAAGAAATGGAGAGAGAGAGAAAAGACCAGGGAAAATATACACTAAAATAAACAACTGAAAACTTCCTAAATATGTTGAAAAATGTTGACTTATAAATTAACAAACTCCAAATATGACAAACACAAAGAGATCTATAAGCAGAAACATCATAGTAAAACTGATGAAGGCCAAGGGGAATACTTGATCTATATCTGTTATCTAACTACAATTTTGCATCCCTTGACAAATATCTCTCCATTTATACCCCCACCCCAACAACCTAAGCCTCCGGTAATCACCATTCTACTGTCCACTTCTATGAGTTCAACTATTTTATATGCCACATGTAAGTGAGATAATGCAGTATAGCTCCTTATGTGCTTGGCTTATTTCACTTAACATACTATCCTCCAAGTTAATTCATATCAACACAAATGACAAAATTTTATTTTTTTTAAGTCTGAATACTATGATGTGTATATATACCATACTTTTATATATGTTAATTAGCTCAACTGAGACATCACACAATGTAAGCACATTTCAACATGTAGTACATAAAAATATACACAAAATCTATTTGTCAGTTAAAACAATAAATTTTGTAAAGGACAAAAATGAGAGAAAATCTTGAAAGCAACAAGAGAAAAACAAAATAATTCATCATGTACATGGGAACCCAAATAAGTTTAATAGATAACTTTTCCTCAGAAACAAAGTAGGCCAGAAAGTCAAGTATTGGCAAATTAAAAGGGCTTAAAGAGGGAAAAAAAGGTCAACTATAAATCTTATATTCAGGAAAACTAACTTTCCACAAATGAAAGCAGATGTGCAGGAACCAAGGCAAAGACAAAGGAAACATGAAAAACATGAGGTAATATGGCACCCTCACAGGAACACGATAATTCTCCAGCAATAGAATGCTGGGCCAAATGCTCTAAAATGCTCTAACCAAAAAGAAACACTTGAAATGCCAGATAAACATTTCAAAATATTGATTTTCATAAAGCTCAGAGATATGCAAAAGAAATCCAAAAACCAATACAAAGAACTCAAAAAACCAACTCAGGATATGAGTAAAAAATCTACTAAGGAGACAGATATCTTTAAAATAAATTAGCAACAAAAATTTTGAAACTGAAAAATTTATTGAAGAAAATACAAAAAACACTTGAAAGCTTCAATAATGGACTAGATCAAGCAGACAAAAAATTCAGAACTTTAAATATTTGAAATAACCTAGTCAGACAAATTAAGAAACAATAATAAAAATAAGAACAAAGCTTTTTAAACATTTGGGACTACATAAAACAACAGCATTTATGAAGTATCAGCATTAAAATGGGAGAAGTAAGAGTAACAGCTTTCGAAAACCTATGTAATGAAATAACAGATAAAAATTTTAAGTCTAGCAAGAGATTTAGACATAAACATATAAGAGTTCCAGCAATCCTCAAGAAAATACAACACAAAAATGTCCTTCCTGGTCAAGCAAATGCTGAGGAAATTCATCGTCACTACACCGACCCTATGAAAATGTTCAAGAGGGTTCTAAACATGGGAGATAAAGAACATAATCACCATCATAAAAACACATAAAAGTATAAAACTCATAGGTAAAGTAATTACACAAAAGAAGATAAATGAATCAAATAGCACCATTACAGAATACCACCAAACAATAGTCAGAGTAAAAGAAATAAACAAACAATTTATAAAACAACAGGAAAATATTTAATACTATTACAGGCACAACCTTAACATGACAATATGAGCCTTAAATATAAATGGACTAATTTAAATTCCCCCTCAAAACATCTAGATTGGCTTAAGGGATAAATATAAACACAGTTCAAGTATATGATGCTTGCAAGAAACTCACCTTACTTTTAAAGACACATATAGACTGAAACTAAAGAAGTGTAAAAAATATCCCAAACCAAAGGTGATAAGGAGTAGGCAAGACTTATATCAGAAATAAAACAAACTTTAAATCAAAAACAGCAAAAAAAGACAAATAAAGCCATTATATAATAATAAAAGGTTTAAATACTGCAAGATGACATAACAACTGTAAATATAGATGCACCCAACACTAGAGTTCCCGTGTTCATAAAACAAATATAACTTGATCTAATGGAAATGTGTACATTTCTGTAAACATACAACCTTCCAAGATTCGACAAGGAAAAAAACAGAAAACTTGAAGAGAGCAATGATTGAATCAATAATAAAAAAATTCTCCTTCCAACAACAACAAAAATTCCAGGACCAGATGAATTCACAGCTGAATTCTATCGGAAGTGCAAAAATGAACTAAAACTAATCGTTCTTAAACTGTTTCAAAAATTGAGGAGGAGAGAGTGCTTTTTAACTTATTCTTCTCTATGACACCAGTATCATCCTGATACCAAAACCAGATGAGGACACACACACAAAAAGAAAACTACAAATTAATATCCCTGATGAACATAGACACAAAAATCCCTAATAAAATACTAGGAAACTAAATCCAATAGCACGTTAAATAGATAATATATTATCTTAAGATAGATTTTATACCAGGGATGCAATGATGGTTCAATGCATGCAAACCAATAAATGTGATACATCACATCAATAGAATGAAGAACAAAATGTATATCATCCTAATAAATACAGAAGAAAGCATTTGATAATATTCAGCATCCCTTCATAATAAAAGCCCTCAAAACTAGTCAGAGCAGGAACATAACTCAGATAATACAGGCCATAAGTGACAAATAGCCAACATCATACTGAACAAAGAAAATTTGACAAAATTTCTTATGGAAACTAGAACAAGACTAGATGGTGCACTTTCAACACTCCTATTCAAGACGGTATATGAAGTCTGAGCCAGAGCAATCAAGCAAGACAAAGAAATAAAAGATATCCAAATTGGAAAATAGGAAGTAAACTTACCCCTGTTTAGTGATGATATGATATCATGATAACACAAGCAAATGGGAAAACATCTATGCTCATATATTGCAAGAATTAATGTTATTAAAATGACCACACTGCCCAAAGCAATCTACAGATTCAATGAAATCTCTATCAAAATATTAATTTCATATTTACAGGATTATAAATATGTATTATTAAATTCATATGGAACCAGAAAAGAGCATGAATAGCCAAAGCAGTCCTGAGCTAAAAGAAAAATGCTGGAAGCATCAAATTACCTGAATTCAAATCATATTAACCAAAATAGCATGTTATCTATATAAAAACCTGACAAATAAATGGCACATAATAGAGAACACAGAAATAAAGCCACATATTTACAGCTAACTGATTTTTGACAAATATTACTAAAACATATATTGGAAAATATAAAACCCTTTTAATAAATGATGCTGGGAAAACTAGATTGCCGTATGGAGAAGAATTCAACAGAACTTCTATCTCTCACCAGGTACAAAAATAAACTGAAGATGGATTAAAAACTGAAACACAAGACCTGACACTATAAAAATATGAGAAGAAAACCTAGAGAAAACTCTTCTGGGCATTGGTTTTAGGACAGCAATTTATGACTAAGACCTTAAAAGCACAGGCAACTAAAATAAAATTTTTTTAATGGGACTTATATTGAAAATGGTCTCCACAGCAAAAACAAAACAAAACAAAACAAAAAACAGAGTGAAGTGTCAACCTGCAAAATGGCATAAACAAAATGGAATTTACAAGCCATTCATCTGATGGGGACTAAAATCAAAAATATGCAAGGAACTCAAACAACTCGACAACAGTGACAACAAATACAAAACAAATAATCCCATTAAAAAGTGGGCAATAACCGTAAGGAGACATTTTTCAAAAGAAGATATACAAATGTCAACAGGAATACAGAAAAGCTCAATATTAATAATCATCAGAGAAATGCGAATTAAAACCACAGTGGGATACCACCTCACATCAGTCAGAATGGCTAATATTAAAAATATTAAAAACAGATATTGGCTAAGATTCAGAAAAAAAGGGAATTCTTACACACTGTTAATGGGAATATAACTTAGTACAATCTCTGTGAAAAACAGAAATGGAGCTTTTAGAACTACAAATACAACTACCATTCACTATAGCAATTCCATTACTGGGTATCTACCCAAAAGTAAAGAAATTATTATATCAGAAAGATACTTGAACTAATATGTTCATCACAGCACTACTCACAATAGCAAAGACATGGAAAAAACATGTGTCTATCAGTGGATGACTGGATAACGAAAATGTGGTATATATGCAATGGAATATTCATTCATAAAAAAGAATAACATGATGGTCTTCACAGCAACATGCGTGGAACTGGAGGTCATTAACTTAGGTGAAACAAGCTAAACACAGAAACACAAATATTGCATATTCTCTCTCATAAGTAGGTGCTAAAAAAGAAGTACAAAGTTATGTATAGAGGGGAATGATAGACAACGGATACTCAGAAAATTAGGGGCATGAGAGGAGGTAGATGATGAGAAATTACTGTGCATAATGTATGTTATTAAGGTGACAGATGGCCTAAAAGCACTGACTTGCCTAGTACTCATGTAACAAAATTGTACTTATACCTTGATATGGTTTGGCTGTGTCCCCACATAAATCTCATTTTGAATTGTTCCCATAATCTCCATGTGGCATGTGAGGGACCTGGTGGTAGGTAAATGAATCATGGGAGTTGTTATGCTGTTCTCATGATAGTGAGTGAGTTCTCACAAGATCTGATGGTTTTATAGGGGCCTTTCCCCTTCGCTTGGCACTTCTCTCTCCTGCCGCCATGTGAAGAAGGAATCATTTGCTTAAAGAAGGATGCATTTGCTTCCCCTTCCACCATGATTATAAGTCTCCTGAGGACTCCCCAGCTATGCTGAACTGTGAGTCAATTAAACCTCTTTCCTTCATAAATTACCCAGACTCAGGTATTCTTATACAGCAGCATGAGAATGGACTAATACATACCTCATAAAGTTTTATGAACAAAATTAAAAAATAAATGCAATATAAATACTTTCTCACATAAACAAACACCGAGATAATTTATCACTAGCAGATTACAGGAAACACTAAAGGAAATTTTTCAGGCAGAATTAAAGTAATGCAAGACTATAGTTTGAATCTACATATGTAAACAAACACACATACACACACAAAATTAAATACAAAGCGAATTGGTGAAGAAAAGGATGTAGGTAACTATAGCACAGTACATTTGGTTATTTCTTCTCTTCTCATAAGTGATTTGAAAAGTAATTGCAGTTTCAACAAACTTATCCGTCTGGTGTAGAATGTGAATACAGGAGAGAATGTATGTGTATGAAGATGGAAAATATGAGAACTCTGTGTGCTTTCCTCTCAATTTTGCCACGAAAAACAAAAACTACTCTAAAAAGTAAAGTATATTAGCGGGTGGAACAAGATTGTGGATTAGAAGATTCCACCAATTATCCTTCCTACCACAACGACACCAATTTAACAACTATATACACAACAAAATCACCTTCATAACAACAAAAAATCAGCTGAACACTCAAAGTACCTGGTTTTAACTTCATATTATGAAAAAAGGCACTCAAGACATAGAAAAGCATCTTGAATTGCCAATGCCATCCTTCCCCCAACTCCTGGCAGCAGCTGCGTGGCGCAGAGAGAGAATCCATGTGCTTGGGAAAGGGAGAGCACAGCAATTGTGAGGCATCGCATCGAACTCACTGCTGCCCCATCATGGCAGAATGCAAAATCAGTCTGAATTCAGCTGATGCCCAATCATAGAGGGAATAATTAAACCAGTCCTAGCCAGAGGGGAATTGCCGATCCCAGGGTCAGAACTTGAGTTACAACAAGCCTCACCACAATAGGCTAAAGAGCTCTGGGGCTCTAAGTAAACTTGAAAGGCAGTCCAGACCACAAGGACAGCAAATGCAAATCAAAACTACAATGAGATATTATCTTGTCCCAATTAAAATGGCTTATATCCAAAGACAGGCAATAATAAATGTTGGTGAGGGTGTGGAGAATAGGGAACCCTCACACACTGTTGGTGGAAATGTAAATTAGTAAAACTTCTATGGAGAACAATTCGGAGATTCCTCAAAAATCTAATAATAAAGCTCCCATATGATTCAGCAATCCCACTCCTAGATATATATCCGAAGAAAGGAAATTAGTATATCAAAGAGTTGTATGCACTCCTATACTTACAGCAGCAATATTTACAATAACCAAGATTTGGAAGCAACCTAAGTGTCCATTAGTAGATGAATGTATTAAACAAATGTGGCACATTTACACGATGGAGTATTATTCAACCATAAAAAAGAATGAGGTTCTGCCATGTGCAACAACTAGAGGTCATTATGTTAAGTGAAATAAGCCAGGCACAGAAAGATAAACTTCACATGTTCTTAGTTATTTGTGGTAGCTAAACATTAAAATAATTGAACCCAGAGATAGAGAATAGAAGGATGGTTACCAGAGGTTGGGAAATGTACTGGAGGGTTGGGTGGGAGAATGGGGGTGGTTCATGTGTACAAAATAAACTGAATTAATACGATCTAAAATTTGATAGCACAACAGGTTGAATATACTCAAAAATAATTTAATTGTACATTTTTAAATAACTTAGAGTATATAATTGAATTGTTTGCTACACAAAAGATAAATGCTTGAGGTAATGTATACCCAATTTACCCCAAAGTGATTATTACACATTGCATACCTGTATCAAAACACCTCATGTAACCCATAAAGATATATGCTTACTATGTACCCACAACAATCAAACCACAATAATATCAATAAAAAGTAAAAAATATTAAAAATAAATTAATTGCATGTGCACATACACATATTGTTGGGCTTACAACACATATAAATATAACATAGTTGATGATACTAGCACACAAATGTGGGCACAAAATCAGTATTAGAGTGAAGAAATGGCACCAGATGTTCTCTCAAAACTAAAGGAAGAAATTAACAGAACAAGAAATAGAAAATAAAAAGATAACATAACAGCCTCTATTAATACATGTTTTGTGTTCTCTCAGCTTTTTAAAAATACACAAAATAATTATTTTTTAAAAATAAAATATTTTATTTAAAAGTCATAAAATAATTATTTGTAAAATAATTATTATAGTAATGCATTGTTGAGTTTATAACATATATACATGTAAAATATATTGCGCTAATAGCACAAAAAGTGGGGAAAATAGAGCCATATAGGAATGATTTTTGTACAGTTCCCTGTAATTACATTAATATAAATCTGGAGTACATTCGGATAAACTGAGATGTATAGTATCAGCCCTACAGCTATCACTAAGAAAATGACAAAAAAAAATGTATATAGTTTAAAAATTATTAAAGGAATTAGGTTTTTACAATAACAAATGTTCACTTAAGGTAAAAAAGACACTAACGCAAGAACATACGAACAAAATAGATATGAGACATAGAGAAATAAAAACTGAAATTGCAGATATAAATTCAACCATATCAATAATAAAATTAAAAGTGAATGGATTAAAGAATCCTAAAGGGAGAGATGATCGCACTGAGTTTACAAACAAAGCAAGACACAGTTCTATGCTGTTTTCACTTGTCTAGTGAAACTTCTATCCAGAAGATTCAAAGGTAGAAATAATAGAAATAGGTTCAAAGTAAAAGGATGAAAATTGATATGCAAACACCAACCATAAGAAATCTGGAGTAGCTAAATTAATATCACATAAAATATACTTTAAAACAAAAAATTTACTGGAGAAGATTAAAAAAATGGTCAAGCCACCAACAAATAAAACAACTATAAATATATATGAACTTAATAAAAGAGGGCCAAAATAAAGGATACCAAGAATTGTAAAGTTAAAAGGAGAAATAAACAATTCAGTAATAATAGCTTGAGATTTCAATAACCTATTTACAATAATGCATAAAACGATTAGATAAAAGTGGATAATGAAGACTCGAAGAATAGCATAAACCAACTAGATCTAACAGATAACTATAAAAGCCTCCATCCTAGAACGGCAGAATACTAATTCTCCTGAAGCATATATAGAACATTCCTAGGAATAACCATATGCTGGTCTGTAGAACAAGTCTCAAAATTTAAATGTATTGAAATCATACAATGTTCTCTAATTACAAGGGAAATAAATTAGGTATTTATAAGAAAAGGCAATACGAGGAATTCATAAATATGTGGAAAGTAGACAATACAAACAACACATTTTTGGCTGGGTGCGGTGGCTCATGCCAGTAATCCCAGTGCTTTGAGAGGCTGAGACAGGAGAATTACTTGAGGCCAGAAGTTTGAGACCAGCCTGGCCAACATAGCAAGACCTCATCTCTAAAAAAGTTTGAAAAATTTGCTGAGGATGGTGGGATGCACCTGTACTCCCACGTACTCGGGATGCTGAGGTGAGACAATCAATTGAGCTTGAGCCCAGGATTTTGAGGTTACAGTGAGCTATAACTGCACCCCTGCACTCCAATCTGGGTGACAGAGTAAGAATCTGTCTCTAAAAAAATAAAAATTAAATTTCTAAATAACCAATGGCTCAAAGAAGAAATTAAAAGTTTAAAAACGCTTTGAGATGGATGTAAATGAAAATCTAAGAAACCCAAATTAAGGGGATGCACTGCTAAAGCACTGTTTAAAGGGAAGTATATTTATTTATTTATTTATTTTTCTTGTGATGTCATTGTCTGGTTTTGGAAACGGGACAATACTAGCTTCATAGGAATATGACCTACCCTCTTTTATGTTTTGGAAAGGTTGTGAAGATTGCTATTGATTTTTCTTCAAACGTTTAGTTAAAAATTACCAGTGGATGCATCTAGGCTTGTCTTAAAAAAGAAGAAAAATCTCCAGTTAATACCATAAATTTCTACATTAGGAAACTAGACAAAGTAAACTAAATACAAACCAATCAGGAAGAAAATATTAAAAATTAGAGTGAAAATCAATGAAATAGAGAATGCCAAACAATATAGAAAGTCAATAAATCAAGGAAACAAGAAATAGTTATTTGAAAAGATCAACAGATTGACAAAACTTTAGCTAGACTGACAAAACAAAAAAAAGGAAGACTCAAAATACTAAAATCGGGAATAAAAGAGAAAACACTGCTAACAAATATACAGAATTTAAAAATTATAAAGGAATATAAAAAAACTATTGTACACCAACAAATCAGATAACTTAGATGCAACTGGACAAATTTCCAGAAAGACAATAACAACCAAAACAGGTATAAAATGAAATAGAAGTTTGAATACAGACAAGTAAAATATGAAGAAACAAGTAAAGACATTGACTCATGATTTCACAACTTCTCACAAAGGAAATCCCAGACCCAGATCGATATGGTCTGGCTCTGTGTCCCCACCCAAATCTCATCTTGAATTGTAATCCAAATTGCAATCCCCACGTGTTGGGGGAAGCACCCCCTGGCAGGTGATTAGATCATGGGGGTGGCTTCCCCATGCTGCTCTCCTGATAGTGAGTTCTCATGAGATCTGATGGATTTATAAGGGGCTTATCCCCTCATTGTTCTGTGCTCATTCTCTCCCCTGCTGCCATGTGCACAGGTGCCTTCAACCATGACTGTAAGTTTCCTGAGGCTTCCCCAGAAAAGTTGACTGCGAGTCAATTAAACTTTTTTTCTTTATAAATTACCCAGTCTTGGGTATTTCTTCATAGCAGCATGAGAATGGACTAATACACAGATGCATCTATTGGTAATTCCTACTAAACATTTACAGAAAATTTAGTGCTAGTTCTTCACAAATGTGTGAAATAATAAGAGTTTAGGTCATTTTCCAACTCATCCTATGAATCCATTAATGTCCTGTTACCTAAAGCAGACAATGACATCACAAAGAAAAAGAAAGCACTCTCCTCCCCAACTTCTTCCTCACTTACATTTTTTTGGTACATCTGGGCCCTTAGTTTTTATTCTGCTTATTATGCGTCTCTGTCTCTATTCAGCATGTGTGTGTGTATGTGTGTTTGTGTGTGAGCGTGTGTGTATGTGTGTGTGCATGTGTGTCTATGTGTGTATATGTGTGCATGTGTATGTGTGCGTGTGTTTATGTGTGTATGTGTGTGTATGTGTATGTGTGTATGTGTGTGTGCGTGTGTGTATGTGTATGTGTGTGTATGTGTATGTTTATATGTGTGTATGTATGTGCGTGTGTGTGTGTTTATGTGTATGTGTGTGTGTTTGTGCATGTGTGTGTGTGCACGTGCGCACGTGTGTGTCTGTGTGTGGTGCACGAGTGCCACTCCCGGGACCCTGTCAGCCTGTCCTTTCGCCTCTATGGCTGCCCAGATGTTTGTTTTTGTGAGTATCCTTGGGGCCATCAGGGAATATCAGGAGCAGAAGGAGCCCACCCTCCCTGTCATGCTGCTCCTTTGGGCACTTAAGGGCCCCTTCCATGGAGCCAGACTGGGTGGAGGGGCTTCTGGGATTTGGTATCTGCTGCTGCCAGAGAAGCAACCCCCAGTCTAGGCCTTGGGCATTTTAACCAAGAGAAAGTAGCGGCTTCCCCTTTTCTCTCTCTCCTTTTTCCCTTTAAGCCCCCAAACAGGTCATGCCGAAAGCTCTCTGGTTGTAACCTGTAGATGTATGAAAGGCAGTGGCAATGGGATTGTAGGACTCTCCCCATCCCAGCCCCTGACCCTGACCCTCGCCATTGACCCAAAGATAGCTGGTGGGTTTCCTCTCGGAGACAATCCTGCATTTTCCTGGGCTGGCCCTGGTTGCTCCTGGCTTTTGCTGATCTTCCCGGCATGGAGGCTCCCCAACCCTGCTTCTCGTTGGGCCTTGGGCACTGATTACCAGAGTGGGGTCTGGGTCTGCTCAGGATTATATTTTCCAGCACCTCCTGTTAGAGGGGTGGAGAGATGTTCTTCTGAGTTAGGCTGAGACTGTAACCCCTCCTTCCCCACCACGTCACCCCTGTGGCTGCTACAGGAGCACAGTAGTGAAGGTCTGAGCTCAAGGTTTGAAAGTCCCAATTGGAGTGTGGGTGGGGCAGGTAGGGAGTAGTGAAAAGGATACTTCCAGGCTCAGCACAGAGCATTTAGCCCTCTGGAAGAACCCCTGCCTGATGTGGAGTTGTGCAGGCCGGAGATGGTGATGTTGGCCTGAACCCACTTGGACTGACTTCTCTGCACTGAAGCCACAGGTGTGGGGTAGCCTGGTGGGCGGGGTGGTTCCTTCTCTAGCCAGGGCAAACACCCAGCTGGCTGGGTCGTTCCTCAGCCATGCCTCCTCCTGTCCCCAACAGCTCCTTCAGCTCCTGACATCCCCTGACCATCCCAAGGATTCTCACAGAGACAGATAAACAGGTGGGCAGCCATGGAGGAGAAAGGAGAGGCTGACAGGGCTCTGGGGGTGGCACTCCTGTGACATTCATGTGCACACACGCACACACACACACGCACACACACACGCACACACACCTACACCTCTCCTTTCCTCCTGCTTGCGGACTGCTGGTCCCCTCCCTTTGCCTCCTTCTAGCTGATTCTAGTTACCACCTACCCCTGGCCATGAACTAATTAGATCAGCATTCAAAATAAAAGTTTGTTTCAAGTAAAAAAAAAAAAAAAAAAAGGAAAACGAAAAAGAAAATAACACTGACCAGAATGTCTTACAAATCTTACAAATATAGGTGTATAAATCTTTAAAAAAAAATCTATCAAACAAAATCCAGCAATATATAAAAGAATTATATACCATGACCAACTTGTATTTATTCTAGGAAGGGAAGGTTGATTCAAGATCTGAAAATCAATTAATACTAAATAATTAATTTTATATCATAGAACAAAGGACAACATGATCATCTCTCTAGATGCAAAAAAAGTAATTAGACAAAATTCAACAATGCTTTGTATTAAAAACACTCAACCAACTTTCCTGATAAAAACACTCAATAAGAACATAAGAAAACGTCAGCAACATGTTAAGACCAGTTAGAAAAACTCACAGATAACATATTTGTTGGGCAAAAGATAGTTTTTTTATATTGGTCTTTTTGTTTACTTTATAGCATGCTAAGAACATTAGCTCAAAGCTCAGTGGCATCTATCTCAAAATTTTGCACTTCCAATTGCTTTAAATATAGCTCTCAAAAATCTATTTATAACCATTCAGAGCCTGCCTGCTTTGCATGTCTTGCAAAATTGCATCCAACATCTGCTAGCCATTGATAAAACAAACTATGTTGTCTATAAAAGATCCCGCATGGCTTCTGCCCTTTGAAGCTCTGTGACCCTGAGACTTCCCACTGTGCTGCTGAGCAACATTATCTAGACACATAAGTCCTCTCTATATTTCTCCTCTCCCTAGTTAGTCCCTTGCCCTCTTCCCTCTTTCGGTGATGACCCTTCAGCCCTGTCTCTGGAAGGTCTCCCACTATAAGAAACACCTTTGCATGCAATTCTGCTCAGTCAGTGCCCAATAAAGCTCATTCTGCAATACTGACATCTCAAAGTCATGCCTTTTACTTGATCAGCCCCTAAATCCTCTAACTCACCACAACTTTACTGATGAAAGATTTACTGCTTTCTCCGTAAGATCAGGCCCAAGACAAAGATGTATTCTCTTGTCACTTGTATTAGTTTACTTGGGCAACTGTAACAAAGTACCACAGAATAGGTGCTTTAAACAACAGAAATTTATTTTCTCACAATTCTGGTAGCTAGATGCCTTAAATAATGTGTTGTTGACAGGACTGATATTTTTCTGAGGGTAAGGAGGAAAAAATGTGTTTCACGCCACTAGTCTTAGCTTGTAGATAACCATCTTCTCCCTGTAACTTCACATTGTCTTCCCCCTGTATGTGTCTGTGTTCAAATCTTCTCAATTTATAAGGACATCAGTCACACTAGAGTCCACCACAGTGATCTTATTTTCACTTAATTACTTCTGTAGACTCTGCCTCCAAATATAGTCACGTTCTGAAGTACTTGGGTGTTAGGGCTTTAACATATGAATGTGGGAAGGCGGACATAATTTAGCCGATTCATTAGTACTGGAAGCTCTATCTAGGACAATTAGGCAAAAAAAAAAAAAAAAAAAAAAAAAAGTGGGAAAAAAGAAAAGCCACTCAAATTAGAAAGGAAGAAGTCAAGTTTTCTCTACTTGCAATCAATATCATATATGTAGAAAACCCTAAACAATACACCAAAAAGAAGAGAAATAGAACTAGTTCATCAAGGTTTCAAGATAAAAGATTAATGTACAAAAATCAAGTGTATTTCTATACACTAGCAATAAACAATGTGAAAATGCCATAAAGCAAACTCATAATATCATCATAAAGAAAAATTACTTAGAAAAAATGTCTTAAAACAAGTGCAAGATTTGCAGACTGAAAGCTACAAACATTGTTGAAATAAATTATAGAAGACCTAAATAAATGAAAAGACATCCATGATCATGAAATGGAAGACTTAACATTGGTAAGATAGCAGTAATCCTCAAATCGATCCTTAGCTTCAGTGATACCCCGGTTAATATCCCAGGTGAATTTTAAAACAAAATTAACAAGCTGGTCTTAAAATACATTTATAAATGCAAGGAAACCAGAAGAGCCAAACCAATCCTAAAAAAAATAACAAAGTTGAAGTGCTCACACTTTCAAATTAAAACTCATTACAAAGCAATATAAACCAACAAGAAACTGTGTAACTGGCAAAAAAAAAAAAATAGACATTTAATGAGATTGCCTCAAGTGTCCAGAAGCATATCCTTATGTTTTTGCTTAATTTATGCTTTACAAAAATGCCATGCAATAGGGCAAGAATAGTCTTTTCAGAAAATGGTGCTGGAATAAATGAATATCCACAAGCAAAAGTTAGAAGTTGAATTCCTATGTCACACTGTATACAAAAATTACATAAAAATGAATCAGACACATATACATATATAAAATGAATCATATATATATATATATATATATATATATATATATATATATATGTAAAGGCTCAAGGTAAAATGACAAATAATACAACTAAAAAATGGGAAAAGTATTTCAACTGACATCTCTCCAAAGAAGATATGACCATTAAGCATATGAAATGATTCTCAACCTTATTAGCCATTAGCGAAATGCAAATCAAACCACAGTGAGATACTTCACATCCTCTAAGATTAATATAAACAAATGAACTAATAATACCAAGTGTTGGTAGGGATGTGGAGAAATTTGAACTCATGTACACTGCTGCTGGGGTTGTAAAATGTAGTTAATTTGAAAACAGTCCAGCATTTCTTCAAAATATTCAAACTGGAAAAACCATATGACCCAGCAATTACATTTCTAGGTATATACCCAAAAGAAATGAAAACATATATACACACAAAATTTTGTACATGAATATTCATAGCAGCATTATATTTAACATTAAACATGTAAGCAATCCAAATATCCATCAACTACCGAATGGATAAACAAAACGTTGTATATTATACTCTAAAATATTATTCAGCCACAAAAATAATGAAGTGTTGATACATGCTATAATGTGTTTGAACCTGGAAAATGTAATGCTAATTGGAAAAGGCCAAAACAAAGGCCGTATATTGTATGATTCTGGTTACATGAAGTTTTCAGAATAGGCAAATTTATAGACACTAAATGGTGTCAGTGGTTTTCAAGGGCTGTATGTAAAGGAGAATGGGAAGTGACTGCTAATAGGCACAGAAATTATTTTGGAAGTGATACGATGACAAAATTCAATAATTACACTGTTGTTATGGTTACACATCTCTATATAGACACTAAAAATCATCGAATGTATATTTTAAGTGAGTATATTTTATGGTATGTAAATTTTTTCTCAATAGAGCTGTTTAAAAATACAACTCTAGATGCTTTGTACACAGTTTTATTTCTGAATTAGAAAGGAAAAAGTAGACTTGATATTTAAAAAGTAGGTAAGTTAACATAACAGTCTAAATTTACATATTCACTTAAAAATTAGAAGTTATTACAGCACTGGATCTGTATCTTCGTTCAAATAAAAAGACTACT
The DNA here is from genome assembly GCF_000001405.40 of Homo sapiens. NCBI lineage: Eukaryota > Metazoa > Chordata > Mammalia > Primates > Hominidae > Homo > Homo sapiens. The sequence goes on along the minus strand of NC_000023.11, from coordinate 146,472,588 downwards.
GGGTAGCTATTGCTCCCTTTAGACAGTCTACCCTCTTTATTTTGGCAGTCTTTCAACCCATCATAAGTCACTAATTTATGTGATCTGTATAGCCTCTTTGCTGGAGAATGGTTAAATGCTGGGGAATATGTTAAAAGCTCCACACTACAAAAGGCTATCTTAGTAGGGTTCAACACTATTAAGGCACGTTACTACTTTAAATTTTTTCCAGAACTGACCAACACATTGTAGAAGCTGGAAAAATTCTTGTTGATTATAGATGTACTTAGGCCTGTATATAACTAACTTTCTAATTGTATCATAGCTGGCATGATTTCCAGTGTTAATTCTAAGGATGCTGACCTCCAACTGTGATAAGTGTGTACCTGATCTTTGAAAATAAACAGTGCTAGAAACTGTATTAATAATTTTAAAACCTTGAAAATATCAAGAAACATCAACATATTTATTTGGTTTAGGTTTTTATCAATTAGCAATAAATGCACATCTACTCAGTTTTAGGAATCCAACTTACAAGGGACGTGAAGGACCTCTCCAAGGAGAACTACCAACCACTGCTCAATGAAATAAAAGAGGATACAAACAAATGGAAGAACATTCCATGCTCATGGGTAGGAAGAATCAGTATCGTGAAAATGGCCATACTGCCCAAGGTAATTTATAGATTCAATGCCATCCCCATCAAGCTACCAATGACTTTCCTCACAGAACTGGAAAAAACTACTTTAAAGTTCATATGGAACCAAAAAAGAGCCCGCATCTCCAAGTCAATCCTAAGCCAAAAGAACAAAGCTGGAGGCATCACGCTACCTGACTTCAAACTATACTACAAGGCTACAGTAACCAAAACAGCATGGTTCTGGTACCAAAACAGAGATATAGATCAATGGAACAGAACAGAGCCCTCAGAAATAACGCCGCATATCTACAACTATCTGATCTTTGACAAACCTGACAAAAACAAGCAACGGGGAAAGGATTCCCTCTTTAATAAATGGTGCTGGGAAAACTGGCTAGCCATATGTAGAAAGCTGAAACTGGTTCCCTTCCTTACACCTTATACAAAAATTAATTCAAGATGGATTAAAGACTTACATGTTAGACCTAAATCCATAAAAACTGTAGAAGAAAACCTAGGCATTACCATTGAGGACATAGGCATGGGCAAGGACTTCATGTCTAAAACACCAAAAGCAATGGCAACAAAAGCCAAAATTGATGAATAGGATCTAATTAAACTAAAGAGCTTCTGTACAGCAAAAGAAACTACCATCAGAGTGAACAGGCAACCTACAAAATGGGAGAAAATTTTTGCAACCTACTCATCTGACAAAAGGCTAATATCCAGAATCTACAATGAACTCAAACAAATTTACAAGAAAAAAACAAACAACCCCATCAAAAAGTGGGCAAAGGATATGAACAGACACTTCTCAAAAGAAGACATTTATGCAGCCAAAAGACACATGAAAAAATGCTCATCATCACTGGCCATCAGAGAAATGCAAATCAAAACCACAATGAGATACCATCTCACACCAGTTAGAATGGCGATCATTAAAAAGTCAAGAAACAACAGGTGCTGGAGAGGATGTGGAGAAATAGGAACACTTTTACACTGTTGCTGGGACTGTAAACTAGTTCAACCATTGTGGAAGTCAGTGTGGCGATTCCTCAGGGATCTAGAACTAGAAATACCATTTGACCCAGCCATCCCATTACTGGGTATATACCCAAAGGACTATAAATCATGCTGCTATAAAGACACATGCACACGTATGTTTATTGCGGCACTATTCACAATAGCAAAGACTTGGAACCAAGCCAAATGTCCAACAATGATAGACTGGATTAAGAAAATGTGGCACATATACATCATGGAATACTATGCAGCCATAAAAAATGATGAGTTCATGTCCTTTGTAGGGACATGGATGAAATTGGAAATCATCATTCTCAGTAAACTATCGCAAGGACAAAAAACCAAACACCGCACGTTCTCACTCATAGATGGGAATTGAACAATGAGAACACATGGACACAGGAAGGGGAACATCACACTCTGGGGACTGTTGTGGGGTGGGGGGAGGGGGGAGGGATAGCATTAGGAGATATACCTGATGCTAAATGACGAGTTAATGGGTGCAGCACACCAGCATGGCACATGTATACATATGTAACTAACCTGCACATTGTGCACATGTACCCTAAAACTTAAAGTATAATAATAAGAAAAAATGTTCATTGGTATAGAGGTAGCATTGCTAAACTATTTGCTGAGATTATCTTAAAAATTATATGGCATTCACATTGAGACAATAATCCATCTCCTTTACATTAAGTACAAACTTTATTTATATAGACAGAGTAGCATTATACACTTTAGTGGAATGGGAATTATAGTGATTTACATTATCTTTGTGCCAGTTCTAAAAAATGCAATAAGGTGACTTTAATAATTAATTACACAACAGGAACTTATTACGTGTCACAGAGTGATATGTGGTAAGAGTGCTAGACGGGAGCAAAATGAATAGTGTTATTGTCATAAACTGCCACTCAATTTTCTTGCACTAAAACCTATGCTTATTAGCAAAACAATGAAAAAATAAAGTAAAAAGATTTTAAAAGCAAATATGCAGATATTGACTTAAATGTTATAAAATGTGTTTTATATAACAGTGATATCTATATTACCTAGAAAACAGAATTCAATACTTATATCTTCTTATGACCCAAACAATATAATAGCCATTAAATATACTACTGTTGTTTCACACTTTAAATGCCTTTGTACACATCACTAAACAAACATTCTTAAGTATAACAAAATAATCAGTATGATAAATTAAAGTTTATCTCGGAATGATCTTGGACAACAGGAATCAAATAATTCCTAGATAATGTACATTGCTTCTATGAAAGTTATGTGGAAACAAAATTTTAAAAACAAAAATAACTAAGTAATATTATTTCTTGAAGTTAATTTGTAATATTCCTTTTGCCTCTCTGAGTATTTAGGCATTCACTTTTAACCACAATGAACAAGCTAATAAATTGTCTGTCATGACCAAAAGTTCCATTAACGTAGAAAGAAAACGGTACAAAACATAAAATTGAATGCTCCTAGGAATAATTATAGACATTGGAAGTCAATGAGTTTATTGAGTGAAAAAAAACGTGACACAAAGACAAATGTCAAAAAATAATAGAGCATACATAAAACCATTATCAAGTTGAATTTACTTAACATATTTCCCCAACCTACTTCTAAATGGCCTCTAAACCTGGCAGGAGGCCAGGTGCAATGGCTCATGCCTGTAATCCTAGCACTTTGGGTGGCCAAGGTCAGCGGATCACCTGACATCAGGAGTTCAAGACAAGCCTGGCCAACATGGTGAAACCCCGTCTCTACTAAAAATACAAAATTGGCCAGGTGTGCTGGCGGGCACCTGTAATCTCAGCTACTCTGGAGAATCGCTTGAACCCGGGATACTCTGAAGAATCTCAGGAGAATCGCTTGAACCCGGGAGGTGGAGGTTGCAATGAGCCGAGATCGCACCACTGTACTCCAACCTGGGCAACAGAGACTCCGTCTCAAAAATAAATTAAAAAATAATAAAGTAAATAAATACAATTACAAAAATAAAATAAACCTGGCAGGAAAGGACCAATTCTTAAGACGTAACTCATGAATAAAAAATGACAACGTAAGAATTTATGTTATTCAAAATAAGCAGTTCAAGAAGTATGGCATAGATGATAGTCACTTGCCATTCTCCTCCTTCACCCCACTCCAAAAAATACCCGAGGTCCAGAGGGAACCTTTGGGTGAAAATAAAATTAGAGAAACCAAAGTCATAGCATGAAAGACATTAGATTATAAACTGGAGGCAGAAATAATATATGGCAAGTGACATCTAGTACAAATCGTGGATTTGGTACAATAACCGCCCTGCCTCCAAAAAAGAAAACCAGTAATGAAAGTGAGATTTAACTATCTATGCCTCAGAGAAAATCTCATTCTTCTAAAAGCACAGTACTCAACAGGATTTTGTTTTGCTTTGTTTTGTTTTGTTTTGTTTTTGTTGTTGTTGTTTTGAGACGGAGTCTCGCTCTGTCACCCAGGCTGGAGTGCAGTGGCGCCATCTCGGCTCACTGAAACCTCCACTCCTGCGTTCAAGCAATTCTCCCGCCTTAATCTCCCTAGCAGCTGGGACTACAGGCGCATGCCACCACGCCTGGCTAATTTTTTGTATTTTAAGTAGAGACGGGGTTTCACCGTGTTAGCCAGGCTGGTCTCGATCTCCTGACCTTGTGATCTGCCCGCCTCGGCCTCCCAAAGTGCTGGGATTACAGGCGTAAGCCACTGCGCCCGGCCTCAACAGGATTTTTCCTGGTACTTCTTCCTCTCAGAAGACAAAAGTATGTGTATCAGAGTGGGGTTTTGTTTGTTTTGAGGTAAATTAACGGAAAACCAAATAAAAATTAGTATAAATAAAGACAGGCAATTACTTGGCTCAAATGACTTAAAATGTGGTGATGTGGAAGTGTAACAAGATATGGTGCCAGCAAGATTCCAACTTTGCTTCTTTTTATTCTCCAGAGTTCCAAGCTGAAAGTGGAATGGCTATATTACTTTCATAGTTCACATATGCACATGGCAATGTCCAAAGCAAATGAACTTATCATTTATACTTGTTTTCTCTTAAGAGGGAGAAAATATTCCAAATCCTTCTCTGGAAACCTCCCTCTTCATTAGTCCCCTTCCCCCAAAATAAATATTTTCTTGTATCTTATAGGTTAAAGTTTAGTCACGTAAAGATACCTCATGGCCAGGAGTATTCTATATGTTTACTGGCATATATTATAAACTCATCATTGACCAAGAAATGGTGTTGTTTTAGATTGATCACACCAACTGCTGGAGCTGGGAATTAGGTCAGCTTCCTCTGAGAGACAGGAGCTACAATTCATGAAGAGCTGGATATATAAACATATATCATAATATGTTAGGAGGAAGTATAATAAAGAGTCTGACTTCATTTTTGCTGTTTGCTAATGAGTTTTAAGCTCTACCCCTCTCTCTGCTTTTGTCCAGGAATTCAACAAGAAAATAAGAAAGCCTGGTTGCTAACTCATTTGATAACCAGTTCAAACCTCTCAAACCTGGCTAATTCACCCCGGCCCCATCTTGTAACCACAATTATAGCCAAAGATAGTTATCTCTTCTGGCTCTCTCAAGGTATTTTCTGACCTCTATGAGAGCCACACTGCTCCACTTAGAAAGCTTCATTGCACCATTAAAATGTCTTTATATTCTCTTGCTCCCTTTTGGCGTTATTCGACTAAACATTGGAAAATGTGTTGGGTAGGGATTAATTCCTCCACTGCAGAGTGATTATAACAAAGTGGGTAGTGGATGCTGAATAAATAATGAACATAAAGAAGGGAATCACAACTCTCAATTGTTACTAAAAAATGACAGTGATTTGAATGATATAAGAAATGTTATTATTTTAAGGGTTTGCAATGGTGATGAAATGGAAAGTTAATATATGATCGACATCTAAGATGTTTGAAAAGAAAATTTCAAAAAAGGGTATATAAAAATGTGAAAATGTTACTACTACCATATGATTAAAATAATCTCAATACTAAATTAAATATTAAAGTTAGAAATGATGTTTTAGCTACCAGAGTGGCAAATATAAGTTCTTATAATTTACAGTATTGATGATGGTCTAGGGAATCAGGAACTCCTCTGTTGTAAAGTGGACTGGAATATGAAATGATGCAATAGATTTAAACATTCATTTGGCAGTATGTATCAACCTTTTAGGTGCACATGACCAAAATTTCACAAGAAAAACATTAATTTAAAAATGCATAATTTTTAAAATAATTCCAATGGGGAAGTTAGAGTGATGTCAACAAGAAGGAGAATGTAGAAGACTGCAGAGGACCCCCACAATCTTCACTGATGCTGACCTTAACTGACAGAGTTGCATGTAGACTATTCCATTGTGCGCTCTCCAGAGGTAAAAGTACAGCCTTTCACTAAGCCATCGCCTTTGCAGCCACCCATAGGTGAAGATCTTACTCCACTGACACCAGTTTTAAAAATCTGGAAAAGGTGACGGCTCAATCAGATGTGCAGACATCAGTGAAACGTTACAAGAAACAAACAAGCAAAAAAAGCAAGGAAACATGACACCAAAGGAACACAATAATTTTCAAATAACTGATCATAGGAAATGGAAATCTATAAATTGCCTGACATAGAACTCCAAATAATTGTGTTAAGGAAGTTCAGTAAGCAAACAGTGAATACACATATACAACCACACAAAATAAGAAAAATAATACATGAGCAAAAATAGAAATTAAACACAGAGAAATTGTTAAAAGGAATCAAATAGAAATTCTGGAGCTAAAGAATACGATGAATGATTATATCATCTGCAAACAAGGATAATTTGACTTATTCCTTGCCAATTCTGATGCCTTTTATTTATTTATCTGATATAATTGCTCTGGTTAGTACTTCCATTACTATGTCAAATAAAAGTGGTGAAAGTAGGCATTCTTGTCTTATTCCAGATCTTAAAGTTTTCATCTTTTCCTTGTTCAGTATGGTACTATATATGGATTTGTCTTACATGGTTTTCATTGTGTTACACTACGATCCTACTATATAGTTTGTTGAGAGATTTTATTATGTAGGAATGTTGAATGTTCTCAAATGTTTTTTTTTGGCATCTATTGAAATTATCATACATGTCTATTCCTTTATTCTGTTGATGTGATGTATCATATTTATTGATTTGCATATGTTGAGACATACTTGCATCCCTGGGATGAATCCCATGTGATTAAGTTGAACAGTCTTTTTAATGTGTTCTTGAACTTGGTTTGCGAATATTTTGTTGAGGATTTTTACATCTATGTTCATCAGAGATATTGGTCTATAGTTTCCTTTTGTGCTAAGTCATTATTTGGTTTCCATATTAGGGTAATACTAATTAGGGTAATACTCCCAGAAATGAGTTCAGAAGTATTTCCTTCTCCTTGATAGTTTTGAACAGTTTGAGTAGGGTTGGTATTAGTTATTTAAATTCTTATATATGAAACAACCTAAAGACTCTATCAAAAACTATTATAATTAATAAACAAATTCAGTAAAGTTGCAGGATACAAAATTAACATACAAAAATTAGTAGCATTTCTACATGTCGAGTGAACGATTTGAAAAAGATCACACTAGTTTTGCATAAATGGATACAAATCAAGTTGAAATCTTGGAAGTATCAGATAAAGAATTAAAAATGTTGATTATGAAGCTATTCAAGGAGATACCAGAAGAAATTAAAACCAAGCTAAAGATATTAAAAATACAATTCAAGATGTGAATGAAATTTTTTCTAAAGAGATCAATATTTTAAAAAAACAACAACAGAGTGTTTGAAAATAAAAAACACATTTAGGAAATTACAAAATGAAGTGGAGAGTTTTAGTAATAGACTACAACAAGTTGAAGGAAAATTTCAGAGCTCAAAGTCAAGGCTTTTGAATTAACCCAATTAGACAAAAATAAAGAAAAAAGAATCAAAAGAATTGAACACATTCTCTAAGCAATATAGGATTATGCAAAACAGCCAAACGTAATAATAATTGGTGTTCCTAAGGGAGAAGAGAAAGCAAAAAGGTTGTAAACTTATTTGAGGAAATAATTGAGAAAAAATTCCCCAGCCTTGTTAGAGGCTTGGATATCCAAATACAAGAAGCACAAAGAACTTTTTGGAGATTCATTGCAAAAAGCATATAACCAAGGCATGTAGTCATAAAACTATTTATTATAAAGGAAATAATTCTAAGAGCAATGAGACAAAAGCATCAGGTAACCTATGAAGAAAAACCTATCAGACTTCAGCAGACTTCTCAGAAAAATCCTTACAAGCCAGAAGGGACTAGGGTCCCATCTTTATCCTCCTTAAACAGAATAACTTTCAGCCAAAAATTTTTTATCCAGCAAAACTAAGTTTCATAAATGAAGGAGATAAAAAGTCATTTTCAGACAAACAAATGCTGAGGAAATTTGTCGCTACCAGACCAGCCATACAAGAAATTCTAAAAGGAGTTATAAATATTGAAACAAAAGGTCAATATGCACTGGAATGGAACCTCTTGAAAGCATAGAACTCACAAGGCTTATAAAACAATAACACAAAAGAGAAAACAAAGTATCTAGGTAAAACTTAAATTGAGGACTGGAACAATGCTTCACATCGAAATATTAACACTGAATGTAAATGGCCTAAGTGCTCCATTTAAAAAACACAGATTGGCAAAATGAATAAAGCATCACAAGCCAAATATCTATTGTCTTCAAAAGACTCACCTAACACATAAGGATTCATATAAACTCAAGGTAAAGGGGTGGAAAAATAAAAATGGAAATCAAAAATGAGCAGGAGTAGCTATTCTTGTATCTGATAAAAACAGAGAAGCTTTACTGAAGTTCTACTAATCAATTATGAGGCAAAAAAGAAAAAAAAAACAGGAATTTGGTGGGTCTGTATCGGACATAGTTACAGGTAAACAAAGGAAGGCATCCATCAGTCTTCTCTAAGTCATATGGGGAAGGGTAGTTTGCAGTAAGCTGTTTTCTGGAGCTCCAAAAGGTAAGGGGAATTTCTCAACCATTATGTTTTTTCAAGAACATGGGGCTCATTTTAATTTCAACATTTGAAAGGGCTTATGATTCCTGTTTCCCAGGGTTGTATGTATGTCTCCCCATTAGGCTTCCATAGGTATCCCCCTGGGGAAGAGGAGTAGGAGTGCTTCATTACTGTTCCCCACATGGCTTCCACTGACTCTGTGATGTGGTGGACTTGTCACTGCTGTAAAGTGGTGAAAGTTCTGGCTCTCTAATGGGCCTCCTCTGATGCCACTCCATCAGAGAGGCAGAGGGCCACCTCACTACATTTTGGGGTGAGGTTAAAAGTCCTGGCTCTCCACATGGCCTCTAATGACACCATGGAGTGAAGAGATATCTTGTTATCAGCTTGAGGAGATGAAAATCCAATTTCACACTCAGCTTATCTGATGTAACCCTAGCAGGGTTAGGTAGGAGTTGGGGTGCCTCATTAAAGCTTGGTGAGGGTAGACATCTAGGTTCACCACTCAGCTTTTGTTAATCTTGGTGAGGTTCCACCCACAGATCTTTCTGTGGTGTTTGACTGGAGTGGAGTGGGTTATTTTCTAAAAGTTATTTTGCCTTGCTTGTCTGCCCATCTTTGTGTGTGGGTGGGATACTTTGGTCCGCACTCATTGGTGGTTCAAGTTGCTGACTTCTTCAGCTAGAACCCTGAGATGTGTGAAGTAAAAAGAAAACCCAGGAAATTCATCACTGTGTTGTTCCTTGTGTCCCACGGTCTCTAACTAATCTACCTTCTTTCCAACTATCAGAGTTTACTTTTGTTTTCTTCATACATAATGCCTAGGGTTTTTAGTTGTATTTAGTGGGAGGAACAGGAAGAAAGTATGACCACTCAATCATCGTGGAAGTCAAAGTCCCCCAACCTCCATTTTAGTGCCAGATACATTCCCAGCTACCCCTGCAGCAGGGCATGGATGTAATTTAATCCCAGATAATGATCTCTGAGGATAAGTTTGCTAGGAAGTTTTTGGTTGTGATTTTCCTTCTCAATATAAGAGTCAAATCTGTGAATATTACAGGTAGTTAAATAGGCATGAGCGGGGCAGGAGAGGGCTCTCCCCCCACCAACCGGGAATGTCAGGGGACCGTCAGGGGATGATTCAGCAGTTATCACACTGCCTCTCCAAAAATGATAATTTGGCAGCTGGAGCCGGCGGGAGACAAGCTCCTGAAGGTCCACAGCTGTCACACTAAAGTGTTAATTGATCACAGGCTCCAGGGACAGGCAACTTTCCAAACAGATAAAAAAACACTTGAGATTAGCAATCAGCTTCCAATAAAATCTCAGGAGTTGGGCAAGTGAGTCCAGGAATGCACACTAAGAGACAAAATGGCAGAGTATGACGTTCCAGGTGCATTACACAGGAAATGGAAAGAGAGTCTCAGGTGGGCATACATACAACTTCTTAAACACACTGGGCATGCTCACTTCTCAAGTTTAAGGAGGACACTGCGCATGCGGGCAGCCCACCCTAAGGGAAGAATCATGAGAAAGGGGCACAGGATGCCAGAAGTGGGGCAGCATATAAAGTCCTAGGATCAAGGTTAAATGCTGCACTTGTCCTTCAGTTCGCCCACTTGGGTCTCTTCCAAGTGTACTTTCCTGTCTTTCCTGCTCTAAAGCTTTTTAATAAGCTTCCATTACTGCTCTGAGACTTGCCTTGGTCTCATTTTCTGCTTTATGCCCCTCAGTTGAATTCTTTCTTCTGAGGAGACAAGAATTGAGGTTGCTGCAGACCCATGTGGATTCACTGCTGGTAACTCAGACACCTTCTACCCCTAACATGAACAATATAAATGATCCTGCCTATGAACATTATCAGTGAAGGTCTAATGCTTCACACCCATTTTATAACCGCTTTAGTTACAAATCTGAAGTTGAAAGCCAGTGGGCCAAGGATTGATGAGCAGACAGACAGATCCTGGGCTTTTGATGTTGTCATTTAGCCTCAGAATAAACCAAACCTGCTTCCAGACATGTTACATTGGATAATAAATGTCTTTATTTTTAAGCCAATTTTAGTTGGATAGTCTATTATTTATAGCCAAAACCATCCTCATACACTTCGTATCATCTAAGTTTAGGATTGTCATGAATGTTCTATTGAAACCAACATTTCTAGACACTTAAATTTCGTTTTTGAAATGAAAAAGAGAATGTCTTCTAAAGTACACCCTGATAGCTTCTGCTTTAGCATCTGTGATATTGATGCTCGTCTAGCCATAACTGTAGCTCAAACATTGTAATCGAATGTTAAAAAATAATTTCAAGTTTGATTTTAGATTCAGGGGGTACATATGCAGATTTGTTACATGGATATACTGTGTGGTACTGAGGTTGGAGGTACAAATAATTCTGTCACCCAGGGAGTAAGCATAGTATCCAATAGGTAGTTTTTCAGCTTTTGCTCCCCTCCTCCTCTCACCCCCGTGTCTATTGTTGTCATCATTATGACCATGAGTACCCCATGTTTAGCTCCCACTAATAAATTAGAATAAGCAATATTTGGTTTTCTGTTTCTACATTAATTCACTTAGGGTGATGGCCTCCAGCTACATCCACGTTGCTGCAAAGAACATGATTTCACTTTGTTTTTAATGAATGCATAGTATTCCATGCTGTGTATGCACCATATTTTCTTCAATCCACTGCATGGACACCTAGTTCGATTCCATGTCTTTGCTATTGCAGATAGTGCTGCGATGAACATACAAGTGCATCTGACTTTTTTTGTAAAACAATTTGTTTTCCTTTGGTTATATACCCAGTAATTGGATTGCTGGGTTGAATGATAGAGCAGTTTTTATTTCTTTGAGAAATCTCAAAACTGCATTCCACAGTGGCTAAACTAATTTACATTCCCACCAGCAGTGTATAAGTGTTTACCTTTCTCCACAGCCCTGCCATCATCTGTTATTTATTATTATTATTTTTTAATAATAGCCATTCTGACTGGTGAGAGATGGTGTGTCACTGTTGTTTTTATTTGCATTTCTCTAATGCTTATTGATGATGAAGATTGTTTCATATGTTTGTTGGATGCTTGTATGTCTTCTTCTGATAAGTATCTATTCATGTCCTTTGCCTACTTTTTAATAGGGTTATTTATTTTTTGCTTGAGTTCTTTAAGTTCCGTATAGATTAGGCATATTAGACCTTCGTCAGATGCATGGTTTGCAAATATTTTCTCCCATATTGTGGGTTGTCTGTTTATTCTGTTGATAGATTATTTCGCTGTGCAAAAACTCTTTAGTTTAATTAGGTCCCACTCGTCAGTTTTTGGTTTTGTTGTAATTGCTTCGAGGACTTAGTCATAAATTCTTTGCCAAGAACAATGTTCAGAATTATATTAATATTTCCTGGGTTTTCATCTAAGATTTTTATAGTTTGAAGTCTTACATTTAAATCTTAATTCATCTTGAGTTAATTTTTGTATACAATGAAAGGTAGGGGTCCAGTTTGATTCTTCTGCATATGACTAGCCAGTTATCCCAGCACGAATTATTGGATAGGGATTCCTTTCCCCATTGCTTTTTTTTGTCGACTTTGTAAAAAAACAGGTAGATGTAGGTGTGCAAGTTTATTTCTGGATTCCCTATTCTGTTTCATTGATCTATGTGTCTGTGTTTATACCAGTACTGTGCTGTTTTATTACTGCAGCCTTGTAGTAGAGTTTGAAATTGGGTTATGTGATGCCTTCAGATTTGTGCTTTTTACTTAGGTTTGCTTTGGTTGTTCTCACTCTTTGTTGATTCCATATGAATTTGAGAATTTTTTTTTTCTAATTCTGTGAAAAATGATATTGGTAGTTTGGTAGGAATTGTGTTGAATCTGTAAATTACTTTGGGAAGTATGGCCATTAATAACTATATTAATTATTCCAATCCATGAGAACAGAATATTTTTTCCATTTGTTTGTGTCTTCTCTGATTCATTTCAGCAGTATTTTATAGTGATCCTTGTAGAGATCTTTCACCTGCTTGGTTAGCTGTGTTCTTAGATATCTCACTTTTTGTGCCTATTGTAAATAGGATTGTGTTAAGATTTGGATATTAGCTTAGAACATTGGTGTACAGAAATGCTACTGATTTTTATATGTTGATTTTGTATGCTAAAACTTCACTAAAGTTGTTTGTCAGGTCTAGGAGAATTTTGGCAGTCTTCAGGGTTTTCAGGCTATAGAATCATATCATCAAAGATGAGAGATAATTTGACTTCTTTACCTATTTGAATGGCTTTTATTTCTTTCCCTTGTTTGATTGTTCTGGATACAACTTCCAGTACTATGTTGGATAGGAGTGGTGAGAGTAGGCATCCTTGTCTTGATCCTGTTCTTAAGGGTAATGCTTCCAGGTTTTGTCCATTCAGTATGATGTTTGCTACAGATCTGTCACAGAAGGTTCTTATTATTTTGAGGTAGACTATTTTAATGCCTAGTTGGTTGAGGGTTTTTATCGTGAGGGAGTGTTAGATTTTATTGAAAGCTTTCTCTGCATCTATTCAGATGATCATATAGTTTTTATTTTTAATTCTGTTTATGTGTGAATCACATTTATTGATTTGTGTATGTTGAACCAATCTTGCATCCCAGTAATAAAGCCTACTTGACTGTGGTGAATTAATTTATTGATGTGCTGCTGGATTCTGTTTGCTAGTATTTTGTTTAGAATTTTTCTGTCTCTGTTCAGAAGAAATATTGCCCTAAAGTTTTCTTTTGTCATTGTATCTTTGCCAGGTTTTTTTTTTAATTTTTATTTTTTAATCAGGGTGATGCTGGCTTCATAGAATGAGTTAAGGAGGAGTCTCACTTCCTCAATTTTTTGGAATAGTTGCAGTAAAATTGGTATCAGCTCTTCTCTCTACATCAGGTAGAATTTTGCTGTAAATGCATCAGTGCAAGGTTTTTTTTGTTTGGTGGATTTTTTATAACTGATTCAAGTTTGGAACTCGATATTGGTCTGATTAGTTACCATTTCTTCCTGATTCAATCTTGGGAAGATGTGTTTCTAGGAATTTGTCCATTTCATCTAGATTTTTTAATTTGTGTGCATAGACATGTTCATAATAGTCTCTGAGAATTTTCTGTATCTTTGTAGGATCAGTTACAATGTTACCTCCTTTGTCCTTTCTGATTGTGCTCATTTAGATCTTCTCCCGTTTTTCTTTGTTCATCTAGCTGGCAGTCTATTAATTTTATCTTTCCAGAGAACTAACTTTAGGTTTCATTTATCCTTTGTATGGATTTGGGAGGCTGAGTTTCATTCAGTTATGCTCTGATTTTAGTTATTTGTTTTCTTCCTATAGCTTTGGAGTTAGTTTTTTTTTTTTTTTTGTCCTCTTGGTGTGAGGTTAGATGGTTAATTTGAGATCATTCTAATTTCTTGATATAAGTGTTTAGTGCTATAAACTTTCCTCTTAATGCTTTTTGCTGTATCCCAGAGATTTTGGTATGCAATGTTTGTTTTGATTGATTTCAAATAATTTTTGATGTCTGCTTAATTTTGTTTTTTACTCAAAAGTCATTCAGGAACAAGTTTTTAAATTTCCATATAATTGCCTGGTTTTGAGAGATCTTCTTGTTACTGATTTCTATGTTTACTCCACATTGTTCTGAGAGTATGGTTGGTATAATTTTGATTTTTATGAAATTATTAGGGCTTGCTTTATGACCAAGCGTGTGCTAAGTCTTAGAGTATGTTCTGTGTGCAGAAGAAAGGAATGTATATTCTGTGGTTGACGGATAGAGTAGTCTGTAGATGACTATTAGTTAGAATTGGTCAAGTAAGGAATTTAAGTCCACAATTTTTTGTTACTTTTCTCATTCAATAATCTGTCTAATGCAGTCAGTGGAGTGACTAAGTTCCCCAGTATTATTGTGTGGTTGTTAAGTCTTTTTGTAGATCTAGAAGTACTTGTTTTATGTGTCTGCATTTTCCAATGCTGGGTGTGTATATATTTAGGATATTTAAGTCCTTTTGTTGAATTGGATATTTTAACTTTATATAATGTCCTTCTTTGTCCGTTTTTACTGCTGCTTGTTTAAAGTCTGTTTTATCTGATATAAGAGTTGTGATTCCTGTTCTTTTGTTTTCTATTTGTATTATATAACATTCTCCAACCTTTTACCATGAGCCTGTGGGTGTCATTACCTGTGAGATTAATTTCTTGAAGACAACAGATGGATGGGTCTAATTTTTTATTCAACTTATCACTCTGTGTCTTTTAAGTGGTGCGTTTAGACGATTAACACTTAAGGTTTATATTGATAGGTGAAGTTTTGATACTATCGTGAAGTTGTTAGCTGGTTGCTTTGTAGTTTCTATTACGTAGTTACTTGATAGGGTCTGCGGACTATATATTTAAATGTGGTTTGGGGTAAGGGATTGTTGTTTTGTTTCCATATTTATTGCTCTCTTGAGGATCTCTTGTAAGCCTAGTCTACTGGTAATGAATTCCTTTAGTGATTGCTTGTCTGGAAAATATTTTATTTCTCCTTCACTCATGAAGTTTAGATTGGAAAGGTATGAAATTTTTGGTTGGATTTTTTTCTTCAAGAATACTGAAAATAGGTCCCCACTCCCTTATCGTTTGTAAGGTTCCTGCTGAGAAGTGTGCTGTTAGCCTGATGAGGTTACTTTCGTAAGTGATCTGAACTTTTTCCCTAGCTGCTTTTAAGATCTTTCATTTAGCTTTGACCTTGAACAGTCTAGTGACTATATATTCCTTGGTGATATTTATTTTGTATAGTATCTTGCAGATGTTCTCTAAATTTCTTGTGCCCGGATGTCTACCTCTCCAGCAAGACTAGGGAAATTTCCTTAGATTATTCCTTCAAATACATTTTCTGGGTTGTTTACTTTTTCTCTTTCTCTCTAAGGAATGCCAATAAATTGTAGGTTTGGTCATTTTACATAATCCCATATTTCTAAGAGGCCTTATTCATTTAAGTTTTTTTCTTGTTTTTATCTGAGTTTATTTGCAAGACTGTTCCTCAACCTCTGAAATTCTTTCTTCTGCTTGGTCTAGACTATTAATAAAGCTTTCATTTGTGTTTTGAAATTCCTTAAGTCAATTTTTCAATTCCAAATGCTCTGACTGATTTATCTTCAAGATGTTTATCTCTTTATTTTCTGAATTGCTTTATAAGTTTCTTTGTGTTGGTTTTCAACCTTTTCCTGGATCTTATTAAGCTTCCTTGTAATCCATGCTTTATTTTTTATCTGTCATTTCCAATTTTCCATTTTGATTAGGAACCATTGCTGGGGAGTTAGTGTGATTATTTGGTGATGTCACGACATTCAGATTTTTCATGGTGCCGGAATTCTTACACTGGTTTCTTCTTATCTGGGGACACTGGCACTTCTAACTTTTGCAATTATTTTCATGTGTATAGGAATACTTTCTTATTTTTGCTATATTATTATTATTATTATTATTATTATTATTAATTTTTCCCCTTTCCCCCCTCCCTAGGAGATGTGACTGTAGAGAGTGTTGGGTACTGTCTTTTGGCTTTTGTTTCTATAGCCCTATACACTTCCTTTAGCTGGTTTTATATTGGGCTATGTGGTTCAACCTACAGGCCAGTAGATGGTGCTTATAGGTAAGAGCTGTCCGCAGCTAATGTGGATGAGTACATACTTGATCCTTGTTTAGGAAATGGGCTGATCTGTGGAGTGCACAGTGGTGTCAGCTCCCTGAGAAGCCCCATAGCAGGAAACCAAGATAGGTGGGGCTGGACCAGTCAGGCCCGCCTACAGATTACTTAATGGCAGACTAAAACACCAGCACTGAGGGGTGTCAACTGGCCAGTCACCAATTTCTCAGAGGTGTACCTAGGCATGGAGCTGGGGAACCTCCTTTGCCCCCAAGTTTTCTATATGGTCAGGGAGGTCTGAGTTTACTCCTAATCCAAGACAGCAGGTGCTCCAGATGCCTGCAGATCTGCCTGGGCATGGAGCATAGGTGGCCACATTGCACCACAATCTCTGCACTAAAATGGGGTGAATCAGTCTGCAGATCCAAGTAAGCAGACACTCCAAATACAAGGAAATCTGCCTGGACATAGAGCAGAGAGGGCCCAGCTATGCCACAATCTATGCACAGGAAGGGTGGGGCAGTTCAGGCAGCTGCTCCAGGCAAGGGAGTGTACAGTTGCCTAGAGGAATAGAGTGGAGAGGGTCCCACTAGACTCTAATCTGTGCAAGTGGGTGCTCCGAATGCCTGGAGATCTGCCTGGGTCTGGAACAGAGAGGGCCCCTCTGCACCACAATCCCAGGTGAGCAGGCTGCAGTGCTGAGCAATGTCACATGCAGGTCAGTTCCAGATTGCTAAGCTGTCATTGACTTCAAGTCTTGTTACCAAGGAGAAACTGCAGCTGTAGCAGTTCTCCTTGCACCCTTAGCCTGTGATAGGGGACAGTGCAATTCTAGCACCTACCTCTGAGGTGCTTTCCACAGTTCTGGCTATGGAGGACCCTAACCCACTCCAGAGTGGGTACTACCATCTTTGGCCCAAGACTAAAATGCCTGCATGGCCATCCTCCCAGGTCACCAAAGAATGACTGACTTTGTATGGGCCTGAATAAAAATGGTGTCCTGCTCTCCATCTCTGGTCTGGGAAAATGCTTATAGCTCTCCCCACTGTCTTCCCTTCTCAATGTCTTCTAGCCTGTCTGTAAGGCAGCTCCAAGACTTCGGAGAAATAATGTTCTCTCCCTTCTTCTAGGTTGCTTAGATCCCCAGTGGAAAGGTGAATCACAGAGACTTCCTGCCCCTTTCTTATTATGGGCTTCACTCACTTTTATTCATCAAACGCCATCATGGGGGCTGCTTGTCCACCTTCTCTACGGGATCTGGAGTGTCTTTCAGTATTTCGGTGGATTCCCGTTTTCACTGTTGAATTAAAGCTTACAGAGTTGATCTTTATGCATGATTTTGGTCTTCCCAAGTGGCAGACGCATGATGAAAGCCTCCAATCTGCCATCTTGGAAAACAAAAACCTAATTGACTATTGAAAACTTGTTCTTCTGTTATTTTTCAAAAATACAATATGAAGTTCTTAAAATATTAGTTGCTTTTCTGTAATTATGCTGAACTCATAATATTAAAAATGATGGACATTTTAATAAGAATATAATGCTTTGCTGTATTATCTCTGATTTACTTTTATGCTTTAGTAAGTTAAAAATCTAGCTCAAAATTTAGTTTTTCATGGGAAATTAAACTGGGTTGACTGAAAGTTAACAGTGTTCTGAAAAGATAATGTTTTGTAATCTCCTAAAATATCCTAGTGTAGAATCATTAACCAACAGTAAACTTTTGAGTTTAGAATCATTAGCTAAAGCAAAATGAAATAAAATACTTCATTCCTTTGCTTCAAATGCCAAAATGAGCAGCTCTTGATTTTCACAAGGGAGAGATACATTTAAAAATGCAGAAACAGCTTCTAAGTTCTGTTAAGCTTAGTAAATAATTCAGAGAATCAATTCTTTTTACTTTAACATCGTATAACATAAATCTTTCAGAAAATATAAGTTTATTTGAATATTGCATGGGCCAATGTTGTGTGAACGGTATCTTAGATGTAAAATAACACAAATAAGTCATATTAACTCTGTTTATGTAGAATGATGTCAGTATAAGGACTCTGTTTTAATTCTGAGTGTATCTAATCAAAGCATAGGCAATGAACTCTTACTATCCGATTACTCTCCAATATTAGGTAGGTCAAGTGTAGATTAGGTCGCTCCTTTGGAGATGTTTTCTAAAATTCTGGGAGTCTATCTTGCTTGAAATGTGTTATATGAAGGCAGAGGGCAAATAGCCGGGTGCCAGGCCAATCCTAAGAAGTTTAACCAACTGAAGTAATGAATCCACCAGTATGTAAATCAGAACTCATGAGTCAAAGTATACAGTCAAATGAATGTAAGAATTCCAGAGAGAATGAAAAGGAATAATTGTGGATGAAAATGAATGCAATAGGACAAAGACAGACGATCCTATGACTAGAACTTTATAAGCTCACAGGGTGTGCTTGTGGGTCAGGGGGAGGACCTATTAAGGAAGTCAGAAATAATGGAAAATAATATTTTTTATAGTTTTGGGCTCAATGAAATCATAACAGAAAACAGTTAATAATGAAAGTATTGCATTTCTCAGAACCATGACTTATTTCTACAGAAATCATTTAAGGTTTTCTTTGTTTTCACATATAATATGAAACATTATATATATATATATATATATATATATATATATATAAATATATATATATATATATATATACACACATGTGTGTGTGTATACAGGAAAATATCACATAGATATTGAGGGCCTACTATAAGCTTCGTTTCATATCTTCATTTACATATAAATAGAAAGTTAAAATTATCCCAATTAAAGCCTTGTGTCAGATGCTTTCAGGAATACTAGAAAATATTAAGCATAATTGCTGCTCTGAGGACCTAAGATTTCTACACAGAAGATGAGACATACATATGCAGCCGGCAAATAACAAGAAACATCAATTTCAAACTTCTTATTCAAGACTAGATTGGCAATAAGTGCTCACTTAAGAGGAGGAAGAGGGCAAGATAAGGCAACATAACTGTGAATTGGAAAAGATGAGGCAGGCTTGATACAGTAAATGAAAGTGAAGCTGACTCATTACAATGGGAATTAGACCAATATATTAGTAAGTTGCTGTTGCAATCCATGCATAGAATGATGAGAATCAACCTAGGCGAGAATGGCAGTACTTAGGAACTAATATATCATTAAAAACTCATGTTATAAGTGGAAAGTGACATGAAATATGCCATAAGTAAAGGGTCTCCTGTTGTTTTCTGGCAGCAGCCAGGATAAACCAAAGTGATTGCAAATTACGTCCTCTAGCGATCCACAAAACAGAGGCGTGTTTGATCATATTTTATCTCAGATACAGGACAAGAACCAAAATTGCAAAAAAGGAGATTAAAGCAGATATGAGTAAGAATCTACTGAAATGGTACTGAGTGAAACAGAAATTTGATATCCAATAAAACTATAAAGACTCTTCTGTGGATAGTTTCAGGAAAAAAGGGTGTGTGTGTGTGTGTACACATGGGTTCATGCATGTCCCTGCACATTCTCACCACTAGCAGGGCAAATCAGGAGAAAATAGTTTGATGGAATCTTTAGGTGGTTTCTGGTCGATGATTTCTGGGTACCATCTCTGTTTAATTAAAAAGCTATTCAACATGCACAGAAGATACTAAAAATGGCATTAATATTAAAATAAAGAGAATTGCAGAATCATTTTAGAATCATTATTAAACATTTAAATTTCCACTAAGGAAAATGGAACAATGAATCTTTAAAGCCTCCTAAATGGGTGGCACTCCACACTGTATATTCCAGCACTTATGAATAGCCAATTGTAAGTAATCCAAATTTCAAAAGACAACTGGCCTGGGGAGGTGTATACAAGTGATTAGAATTTCAAAGAGCTCAGAATAAATACCAGCTCTTTGATAGGATAATTTATGCATAAAGTGGCAGGAAGAGGTGTCTGAGTTGTTGGAGGTTTACACATAGCTATATTAGGAGTTTCAAGCAAGCTTTGGTAATTTTTCATGTATAAGGAAACTTTAGGCAAGATGCTTTTTCATATTAAGATATTATTGACCAATGATATACACAGAAAACATCGTATTGCTTTATCATAAATAATAAAGCTATAGTATTTGAAAAAAATAGAAATTGTGATCTGTCTGCTAGGACATCATTTCAATTGATGAATATGATCAAAACCAGCCCAAAGAAAACCGAGACAAATTAACATTCAGAGGGATACTTGTGCTCAATGTCTTTCTGTGACCACCAAGAAATCACAGGAAACTCTAAATCCTTGAATGTATAGAGCTGTTTAGTAATCTGTAGTTATTTGGGGGAAAAAAGGCTAAAATAACGACCACGCTTTGTAGGCCAGTTGAGGATTTACGCAGGTAATATTAAAGAGGGCATCACAAACGATTTAGCATTTGACTTGCCTTTTTCCACAGGGTAAATATTAGAGAATGCAAGAAAAAGGCACCATTAAGAAGAAGAAACCACATTTATTCTGAATGCATGCAAGATTTACAGTCTAAAACATTAAGTTTCAAAACCTCCCTGTCCTGCATGCTTGTGTTTAATTTGTTTCTTATAAGTATACCAGGGAGAATTTAAATTCCAAAGATCTATTTTGTTCTGGGAAACAGAACTCTCTGATTTGTATAGTGCCTATTGCTGAGTCAATGAAATATTAACAAACGTAAAAGCTGCATGGCTGATGCATAACATTTTAGGGGATTCATGGTACATATCTGAAAATTTCCCAGGCCCCCAGCTGATGCAGTTCTCAGAGCAGTATGACTGGGTCTCTGTTTGGACTCAAGTACATCACTCTATGCCTGGGTCCTAGGATCCCTACACATGAACCGCAGTCTGGCATCTCTCTCTCCCAGAGCTCAATTCAACAATTATTGCCTACATTTCAGGGCAAGTGAAGTGCCTGGGAGCATGCAATTGTGGGCACTTTGGATTTTGGAGCTAAGCCAGAACAGCCCTTATTAAAAATCCCTGTGAGGAACCATCCTCAGATTGTATGGTGTGTGATGCAAGCTAATCATGCTTTCTTTGCTCAAACCAATAATCTGAGAATGAGGCATTCTCTTAAAACAAATTAAAGGTACTTGCTTCTCAGAGTAGGAAGAAGACTGTATATGATTTATCTAAGCAAGGATTTATGGGGCCTGAAACATAAATGATGAAAGGGGTCAAAGATAGATCACTGGTATGCAGGACAGAAGAGGGGCAAAATTTGGAAGGAAAGTAAGATATTCTTTAAAAGAAGGTACTATGGCTGAATGTTTGCTTTGTTATTTTGTTGTCTTCTAATTTCAGAAGTCAGTGTATAGGATAGGCTTTGGTTGAATAGCTTTGTCTGATTCTAATAAGGGATTTCTAAGGTTCTTTGCCTTCCTTGCCTGTTTAATTGCTACCTGATATAACACATTTTAGCAAAGAGAATAGAATGCTGTAAAAAAAGATGGTTAGCAGCAAGGTCAGCATTAAACCATTCTTATGCAATTCTAAAGAGCAATTGAATATGGCCTCCACAATGAAAACTGTGTTAAAAAAAAAATGCCTCTTTTCAGGCCTCCCCGAAGAGTCTGAGACTAGTTAAACTCTTAGTGGGATTTCTATGCTGAAAGGTTTTCATTTTGGCTTTAAGGAAACCAGATAGACTATCCTGTAAAAGACATATATTTTATATTTCATATTATCAATGGATCCCAAACACGTGCTAGAATAGTACCTTATGTTGCTGGCTCTGTTTCATGTAAGACTGATATACTTAATGAAATTAAGAGAGATAACAAAAGACTATAGTTCCTGCTTCAGAGATTTTAACTTCATGAATGGAATCCAACAACCTAGTAAAAATCTCAGATAAATGAGCTAGGCTTTAACTTAAAAGACAGAAGACAAGTAGAGAGCTGTGCTATGTCCATGTGAAGGAGCTCTAACCAGGCCTTCACTCTGAAGCAGGTATGACAGCTGGCTTCCTCAACCTGGTTCCTGGGGAAATATAACACTTTCTACAGTATATTTTCACAGAATTATCTGTCGTGGTTGTAGACCATACTGCATATTTGGTATATATGTGCAGCAGAGCATACAGCATAAGAACACGGGACTGCAATTTAGTCTACTGCCATTCAAGTGCATGTTCCCTTATTTACTAACTCTTCTCACAGGAAAGGTCATTTAACCTCTGTGAACCGTAGTTTCCTTATTTTTCAAAATGACAATATCAAAGCACTAAACGCCTAAGACTGTTGGAGAGTGATCCTAAATATATTAATGAAATTAACATGCAAGACACCATATATGACCCCGAGTAAACACTGAAAATTAATGTATATTCTTTAAGATGACAACACCAGAATATTTCTACTTTATCACAGCCAGAGGGAAGCTCAGTAGACTCTCAGAAGTAGTGGTTCACCCAAGAGGAACAAACTACAACTCAATGACATGAGTTTTCTGACACATTCCTCAGGGGAGTCTTCGAGAAAGTGGGTGCTCACTAAGCCATGCTTAGTAAATAAAAAATAAGACACCTAGTTAAATTTGAATTTCATATAAACAAAGAATATTTTTAGCACGAATGTGCTCAAATATATACTTAAATGACACATACTTATATGAAAAACATATACTTAAATGACACATGCTTATGTGAAAAAACAGACACGTACTTATATGAAAAACATATACATAATTCAAATGTAACTGGGTATCCTGTGTTTTACTGGCAACACTACACTAGTGTCGTTCCTCTTAGATCCAGCCAGAGTACAAATTCACCTGTTACCCTAAGCCCACTTTCTGTTGTAATAACCAGAGATAATATTTGTGGAGCACTTGTTATGCAACAGCCACTGTGCTAAGTTCATTCTTCGCAGAGTCACATTTAATGTCCACAATCCTATGAAGTTGGTATTTTTATTACTTTTTTTTTTTTTTTTACAGGGGAGAACACTGAAACTCCAAAAAGTATAAGGGACTAACTTGTTTTAAACCATAGAGCTAGTAAGTGGCAGATCTGTGATAAAAACCCAAGTCTCTGATATCAAAACTAATGCTTTAAATAATTATAACCCAATTATGTCTCTGGGAAAAAATGAATCGTTAACTAGATCCATTACAAATAGGAAATGCTGCCAATCAAAATTATGTTCGTCTGGAGACAGGAGGAAGATGGCAGCTAGAAGGCAGGGCTAAAGTGCATCTCCTACTGGGATGGACAGAACAGTATGTGGAGATGTATACTGTGAACTTTTGTTCCAGGTACCACCACAGGAGCATACCAGGAAAACTGAAAGAATTCACAGATCCTTTGAAAGAAGTGGCACACTGCTGCACATTTTGTGGGACAGGCAGAAAACTGTCAGTTCCCAAAGTGTGAGCAGAGGAAACCTGTCTCAGCTATGTAAATTACTGTCCTAGTGCCTGAACTATTGTCCAAGTGAATGTACTAATCACTTAATCTCATGATCTTTGGTTTCCCTATCTATGAAGAAGTGATTAAATAAAAGAGTCTATATGTAAGGCGAAAAATAGTATCCTTGTTTGGGGAGAAGGTGAAATTTAGCTGATTACACGTTACTACCAGGAGTTTAACAAGCTGTTTTGGGGCAGAAAATCAAATCAGAAGGAGGTAAGTAAGAAGGTGACTTGAGCATCCAATAAAGGTGTCCTAGAACCAGTTACCCAATGACTGGTAGATTATGACTCTGAGGCTGTTGTTAAACGGTAACCCTGAAGACTCTATAAGCTTTACTGATAGGACACTCAAGTAACACCATATCCAGAGACTACAGCCAACTCTATGATGTTCTGGCTCATAGAGCAATTTTTGCCAAAGGTGAGATTCCAACAGCTTTTCCATCTCTAGTCATTTATTATCTATTGCACTCCCCTAAGCAATCATACACTCAATGAATTTCAACATTAAAGGTTTTCAACTCAAAATTGTTCTGCCAACTGAAATTCTCCAGTGTTTAATGAAGATCATGCTTTCTAGGACTCCAGATGTAGCAAGAAATAATGATGACTATAATCTCAATAATAATAGTAATGTTTAGATTTTATAGTGTGCTTTAGAGTTTACATAATATTTTCATTCCCATTATCTCATTCCATAATGTTTCAACTGTGACACTCACCCCTTTTGGGGTGTCCTGTTTTCTTTTTGTGGCATTTCAAGAGTAATGGGTAGATTCTTCTTAGGTCTAAAGCTCTGCTCTCCTGTATTGCATTACCTGAGCTCTTTGGCTTTGGGGTTACCAGAGATTACATTGTATGGTGAGAAGATTTGACCTTGGAGTGTGTAGTGTCAGATGAGTGGTACAAACTTAGGGATGGCTGAGGGCAGTTTACAGGAAGTAGTCTTGGCTTTTTTTTGTATCCTAGGAAGTTATTGTTTAGAATTCTGATACTAGTTCAGAAGGGCATTCTAAAGAGTCTTCTCCACTGCCTTTTTTCTCCTGAAATTAATCTCGATTGTTGTCTGCACATTTGTATGAGGAACTGAACTGTTGTTTTCATAAATAAATGAGACACTGAGTTTCCTCAGCTCTGAGGAGAATGGGCATTTTGCTCATCCCAGCCAAAAGGCAGCCCTGGGTGACTGGGGGCCAAGTGGGAGTGTCTGGGGGTCAGTGGCCCTTCAGGAAACCCCCAACAAAATTAACTGTAAAAGGCTCGACCAAGAAGAGCATATAGGAGCTGGTCACTCTGCATTTTGAGCCCTCTCGCAGGTCTAGACCTCCGGATAGAGAAACTGAGACATGTGAGAGGGTGGAAATGACTCAGTGGTGACACTCTGTGGAGTTCGACCCATAACCAGCACACTTCTACTCACTGCACTAAAATCCTAGGCCACAGCTCAGTTCCTCCCTTAAAAAAATAGTTGGAAACAAATAATCTATGAATGAGGAAAAACAAAGAGAATGACCCCCTCTCAGGCACTCCTTTGGTTTTATGGCACCTGTTCTTGCAAGTGTTTGTGTAAAATGGACATATATGGTCTTTTTGTGCACAGTTACATCCGTGAAAATTCAGAACCAAAAGGTTGACCTACAACTATAAAGTTCCCAAACTAAGATGAAATCCACTGTTTGAATCCAACCATCTTTTTTTGTTACTGTTTTTGCAAACCAGTGAGTTTGTATTAATAGCTGATGGCTAAAGTTCTGAAGTAAAATCTATAGTATCTTTGGTTGTATGAGTGTGTATGTGTGCATTTATATTTAAGTATACATATTTTGTTGTGTTTTAGGCCACAAGGTATGAAATTGGCTTAAAGCATACTCATAAATTAAATAATAAGCCCAAATGCTTTTCAAGTTCACATGACTAAAGTAAAATCTTTAATAAGCTAGCTTTAAAATTATTGGTAAAGTAATATTAGAAATATCTTAAGAATTGCCAGCATACATCTTTGTTTGCATTTATTGCTCAAGTGATTTCATATTATCCATGACAAATACAGATGATCTTTGCTTGTGTAATTTTTAATAAATAGGACATTAATATTGGTTTAATGGAAATAGCTAAATCTTGAATTTAGTAAAATAATCATCTATTTAATATTAAGTTTCTTACTTCTGTAAAGACCTGAAATTTAGAGGCTATAAAATGGTTGACAGGGAAATAACTGTAACCACCCAATGGGTTCACCATGCCCCCTGCCTAGACAGAACCAATTTATCAAGACAGGGGAACTGCAATAGAGAAAGAGTAATTCATACAGAGCCAGCTGTGCGGGAGGCCAGAGTTTTATTATTATTCAAATCAGTCTCCCCAAAAATTTGGGGATCAGAGTCTTTAAAGGATTATTTGGTGGGTAGGGTGCCAGTGTGTCAGGAGTTCTGATTAGTTGGTTCTAAGATGAAATCATATTCCTATGAAGCTGTCCTCTTATGCTGAGTCAGTTCCTGGGTGGGGGCCGCAAGACCAGATAAGCCAGTTTATTAATCTGGGTGGTGTCAGCTGATTCATCTAGTGCAGGGTCTATAAAATATCTCAAGCACTGAACTTACATTTTACAATAGTGATGTTATCCCCAGGAGCAATGTGAGGAGATTTAGAATCTTGAAGCCTCCAGCTGAAAGCTCCTAACATAATTTCTAATCTTGTGGCTTTAGGCAGTCTAGTCCCCATGCAGGAAGGGGGTTTGCTCTGGGAGAGGACTGTTAGTATCTTTGTTTAAAAGCTAAACTACAAATGACTTTCTTCCAAAGTTAGTTGAGCCTACACCCAGGAATGAGCAAGGACTGCTTAGAGATTAGAAGCAAGATGGAATCAGTTAAGTCAGCTCTCTTACAATGTGTCAGTTATAGTTCTGTGATGGTGGTTTCATAATTTTAAGTGATGAATATTGTAGTTTTCATGCATAAACTATTAAAATAATTAGGTAAATGTGATGGGATATTTGTAGACAAACATGATAATTTAGAATCTAAAGTTATATAAAATTAAATAATACATATTTCACTAATTGGGTATTTTCCAATAAAAATATTGTAGGAAAACATTCTAAAAAAAGTATGTCCTTTTAAAAGGTGAATATTTTTTTTCTAATTCAAAGGTTATGTATAAAATCATGTAAAAAGAATCAGGAAATAAGAGAGATGCAAGAAAGTTATGGAACTAAAGAAGTATTTTGTGCAAGAAAGCTTAAAGAAAAATAATTTTTTTATGAGAAGGAATCTTGTATGGTAAATTTTTTCCTAGACAAAAACAACTGGTTGTTTAAGAAACAAGGATGTTTAGGTCAAACCAGAAAGTCCACGCATACCATGAATGGTTTGTGTAAGTCATAATAAAATAATTTTTGAAAAAAAGCTTTTATGTGATCAAGTTGTCTATAATTAAAGGGAAATTACAATGGTCTTTCTAGAGGTTGGGTTTTGGTTAGTAAAAAACCACTTATACACTAAAGAATTCGTTCAAACTATGAAATTTTCTTTTTTTTTTTTTTTTTTTTTGAGACGGAGTCTTGCTCTGTCGCCCAGGCTGGAGTGCAGTGGCGCGATCTCGGCTCACTGCAAGCTCCGCCTCCCGGGTTCACGCCATTCTCCTGCCTCAGCCTCCCGAGTAGCTGGGACTACAGGCGCCCGCTACCATGCCCGGCTAATTTTTTGTATTTTTAGTAGAGACGGGGTTTCACCGTGTTAGCCAGGATGGTCTCGATCTCCTGACCTCGTGATCCGCCCGCCTCGGCCTCCCAAAGTGCTGGGATTACAGGCGTGAGCCACCACGCCCGGCCTGAAATTTTCTTAAGGTATTGCTTTAATCTTAACAAATTATTAGACATTGTAAAATTTAAAGCAAATTTTAACTTTTGTGTCTCACTGTTTTTAGCTTTCTCTCCACTTTTAAAAGGCCTGATAGAATAATTCTATTCTTCAACTCATTTTCAGCTCCTGTAAGTTTTTTTTTTTTTTTTTTTTTTTTCCTTTCTGGTTCTAACTTTTGTAGCCTGATAAAAAAAAAAAAGTTTTATCTTAGAGGTCTAAAGGGAATGTTTCCTGCCAACATAATATCAACATAATATTCCCCATAGGAAACAGCAGTCACACTGCAGAAGGTCTTTTCCTTTGCCTTTGGGTAACTGGCCTAATAAACAGATCTTATGCTTTATCAAAATAATCCCTATTTCATTATTACTAAGCTGTGTTAGCTTAAAGAAAACTGAGATTAAAAAGAATTTTAATAACAGTTATTACATCTATGTAACTTTCTGTATGTGCTTTTAAACTCCTTGTGCCATCAAGTTACAGGGCTTTGACTCCTGGGTCTAAAAAGTACACTAGGTTCTGCAAAATCTTAAACACTGACAGCAATTAAAGCCTAATCTTCAGACCTGGTAGAAGATGCCAATTAAAGTAAACTGTGTTCATGATTCACAGGGGCAGAATTCCAAAGTATTCAATTCCTCAAGGCTAGGGACTATCGCCAAAGAGGAGGGCATGTGAGATTGTAAGGGCCAATTTTGAGAGATAAAATATGTTCAATTTATCTATAAATTAACCATTAATGTCAAAGGCACACTGATGCAAGACCAGCATATGGACCCCTGTGTTAGATTAACAAGGTGTTCTTGAAGCATTAACCTACTCCTTAACAAAGGTCACACAAGTTACAAAAAGGCTTATGGAAACTATATCTCATGGTATAAGATGATTAAAATTTTATAGATTGTTTATAAAATTTTGAAAAACAAGTTTAATTGGCCTCATGCTGTTTTTATTAGGGCTTATTGTTTGAAAAATTAAGTCTCTTCTCTCAAAGCATAAAGGTTTTCACTTTTTTTGCAATCTTTGAGTTATCACTTTGACTAAATGAATGACTTATTTTGCAATGACCTTTGGTCCTATTTTGTAATATCAACTGTTTTCAATTTTTTATATATGACAAACTTTCCAAAGTCAAATTCTAACTTAGGTCCTTTTTCATTTTTGATATTAGTCCCCTGAAGTCCAAAAGAGACATATTCAGCTTATTTGATATAATAAAATCATACAGGAAGTATTGTTAAATATGAAATAGTGTTTGACCTTCTTTGAATTATATTTATAAAAATGTGTTATCAGTGTATGTTCCAGAATTGTATGAAATTCCTGTGATTCTGATACATTTTAGCATATGTTATCAGTATAGGTTGGTGTAAAAGTAACTGTGGGTTTTGCCATTATTTATCATGGAGAAAATCGCAATTACTTTTGCACCAATCTAATAGTAATTATGATTATTATTTAAAATTTCTGTTTGCCCCAGAAGTAACCAAGTTTCCTTATCAATTGGGTCTTTAGCTATGACTGTTTTAAGACTTTTGTCATCCACAGTTGTTTTACTTTTATTCTTTTGAAAAGGTGGTTTTATAATTAACATGGGACTCTGACAGGTGCTCCTGAATGCAGTTTTTGGAGACTGTGACACTTGAATAGTGAAAAAACTTACAAGACTCCCATGGAGAGCTGAAATGTTCATGAATATAAAGCAAAACAGGAGTTAACTGCATGGACTGAACTAATAGAAGACTGAAATAATCCTTTTATGACTTTTTGCTGAAAATGTTGCTGATCCTTTCTTTGTTTTTCAGAGCCAATAAAACTTTTCTCTTGAGCTATTTACAGCTTTTAATAACTGAGTAAAGGATATTCATATAAAAAATGGAGCATATTTCTCTCTACATAATTTCTTCAAAATTCAGACACTAGTGAGTATTTTTAACTTATAGAAATATAGTCATTTACATAAGTGCAATAAGAAACTGTTCTCTTTGGTAACAGGACACAATTGGAGACATTGGTTATTTTACCAGGGTTTTGACTTGAATAGAATACTATCAGATAAAGACTCCTTTAAGGAATCAAAGTTTACTTATAGAGCTAATAAAAGCCCCTTGGGAAAGCTGCCCTCATATCTCATCTACACAGTCCCTGTATAGGTTCCTGACCTGTGGTAAGTAACGAATGTCACTTTCTGACAGGCCCAGGAGCCCCAAGCCTTCTTGGGACTTCTAGATGAGAAATTTACCCAACTAATATGGTATTTATAGGTACAGGCTGGGCTTACGTCATTAAAGTCAAATCTGAGATTCCTTATAAAATAAAGTTTTCAGGGGAACCTGCCCCTGATAGTCATGTAGGTTCTTTTCTATTTTCCCTAAGTGTCGGCCAGTCTGAGAAATAAAAGGAAAGAGTATAAAAGTGAGAAATTTTAAAGCTGGGTGTCCGGGGGAGACATCACATGTCAGCAGGTTCCGTGATGCCCCCCAAGCCGCAAAGCCAGCAAGCTTTTATTAGTGATTTTCAAAAGGGGAGGGAGTGTATGAATAGAGTGTGGGTCACAGAGATCACATACTTCACAAGGTAATAGACTATCACAACGCAAATGGAGGCAGGGCGAGATCACAGGACCACAGGACTGGGGCGAAATTAAAATTGCTAATGAAGTTTCGGGCACGCATTGTCATTGATAACATCTTATCAGGAGACAGGGTTTGAGAGCAGAC
Source organism: Homo sapiens (assembly GCF_000001405.40). NCBI lineage: Eukaryota > Metazoa > Chordata > Mammalia > Primates > Hominidae > Homo > Homo sapiens. The sequence continues at coordinate 146,442,250 of NC_000023.11, read as the reverse complement.
AACCAGTCAGGCCAAAATTTATTAGGCGGGAATTTCCACGTCCTAATAAGCCTGGGAGTGCTATGGGAGACTGGGGCTTATTTCATTCCTACAGCTGTGACCGTAAAAGACGGCCATCCCCAAAGCGGCCATTTCAGAGGCCTCCCCTCAGGGACGCATTCTCTTTCTCAGGGATGTTCCTTGCTGAGAAAAAGAATTCAGCGATATTTCTCCCATTTGCTTTTGAAAGAAGGGAAATATGGCTCTGTTCCGCCTGGCTCACCGGCAGTCAGAGTTTAAGGTTATCTCTCTTGTTCCCTGAACATTGCTGTTATCCTGTTCTTTTTTCAAGGTGCCCAGATTTCATATTGTTCAAACACACATGCTCTACAAACAATTTGTGCAGTTAACGCAATCATCACAGGGTCCTGAGGTGACATACATCCTCCTCAGCTTATAAAGATGATGGAATTAAGAGATTAAAGACAGGCATAGGAAATCACAAGGGTTTTGACTGGGGAAGTGATAAGTGTCCATGAAATCTTCACAATTTATGTTCAGAGATTTCAGTAAAGACAGGCGTAAGAAATTATAATATTATTAATTTGGAGAACTAATAAATGTCCATGAAATCTTCACAATTTATGTTCTTCTGCCATGGCTTCAGCCTGTCCCTCTGTTCGGTGTCCCTGACTTCCCACAACATAAAGTTATAGCAAACTAATTTTTAAAAATGAGGAGACCATATGACAAATAATTATTTTTGCTGATCTTATGCAAATACTCCAGCCAAGTATAATAAGACTAAAATTTATTTTGCAAATGAACTTTTTCTATGATTTGTCTTTAGTGAAAAAGGGACTGGAGAGAGAAATTATGTTTCAAAATAAACTATAGGACACCTGTTTTTAGATTCTAGTCTTGCCTAATGTTTTTAAATTTTTATTATTTTCCACAGTTTGGACTGAATTTTAAAATTTCCCTGGCTACAAGACTCCAAAATAATATTTTCATTTTTTTCTTTTTTTCTTCCTCACCCCATTTTTCATAATTTGAAATCACAGAAAACTAAGCTGTGTTTTCTTGAAGCCCTGAGAACTGAAATGAGACAACTTAAACTTCAGAAGAAAATAACAGCAACCTATTTACATACACAAGCCACTTTCATACCTGCCTACTGATGTATGGACTTCAGAGTAATATGGCCTATATCGATTTTCCAGGATTATTCTGTTTTTTGTTTGTTGTTGTTTTTTCTCCCTTCCTCCCCCTGTTTTCTCTTTGTAGAATGTGAGACTTCATAACCTGCTAAAAATGAGTTTTCCTAATAACATGGGATGACCTATCTGTCTAGGAATAAACTATCTTGGCTGGCCATCAGAGATCAGAGGAAACCTGCGACCAAGGACTTATTTTCTTCTAAAATGCTTACTCTGAAAGATTTTAGAAAAAAAAATGCAGTAATTGTGAAAGGAAAATAAATCTTGGGACCCCAAAATCATTAAGCTAAAGGAAAAAGTCAGGCTGGGAACTGCCTGACTGTTCAGCTTGATATTCATGAACACTGCAGCTCTCCATGGGAATTTTGGAAGATTTTTCTCTATTCTAGTGTCACGGTCTCCAAAACCTGCATTCAAGAGCACTTGTCAGAGTCCTATGCTGATTATAAAACCACCTTTTGAAAAGGATAAAAGTAAAAGCAGTTTATAAGAATTCCATTCTTTTCGGCAGGGCACAGTGGCTCACACCTGTAATCCCAGCACTTTGGGAGGCCAAGGCAGGTGGATCACAAGGTCAGGAGATCGAGACCATCGTGGCTAACCTGATGAAACACCGTCTCTACTAAAAAAATACAAAAAATTAGCCAGGCGTGGTGGCGGGCACCTGTAGTCCCAGCTACTTGGGAGGCTGAGGCAGGAAAATGGTGTGAACCCAGGAGGCGGAGCTTGCAGTGAGCCGAGATTGCGCCACTGCACTCCAGCCTGGGCGACAGAGCAAGACTCTGTCTCAAAAAAAAAAAAAAAAAAGAATTCCATTCTTTTCAAAGTCATCCCTTTTTTCACTGAGATAAATGCATTTCTGATTGCTTCCTTTGGAAAGACTAATCAGAAACTCAAAAAAAAAAAATGCAACTGTTTGTCTCATATCTACCTGTGACCTGGAAGCCCTCTCCCTGCTTTGAATTGTCCCATCCCACCTTTCTGGAATGAACTAATGTACATATTACATATACTGATTGATGTCTCATATCTCCATAAAACATATAAAACCAACCTGTGCCCCAACCACCTTGGGCACATGTGGTAAAGACCTCCTGTGGCTGTGTCATGGGCACACATCCTTAACTTTGGCAAAATGAATTTTCTATATTGACTGAGACCTGTCTCATATATTTGGGGTCTACAATACAAAATGTCATCTCCAGAACTGGAGCCAGAACACAGTGACAAAGTAGTTACACAACTCCCGCCAATATCTTAAGACACTTTGTAGCAGTTGTAATGGTGCTTTGTAAACTGTATATTGCTATATGGATGATTAAATTTCTGAATTTTTAAATAAAGGTGAACTTATATTATCAGGTATACCCCATATAAGCAGAACAGAGATTTTGAATAGGGCCCATAATTACATTTTTACATTAGCCTGAAGGAGCAATAATTAATACTGCTTACACTATACATTTGATATCAACTTCTAACTACTATGCTTTCTCTACCTTCCTAATATCAAAGTATCTTTTAGAAACATACATACACACACACACACACACATGCACACACATATGTATATCTACCTATCATCCATCTATCTATCTACCTACCTATCTACATTTTTTTATTTATTTTAATTGAGACAGGGTCTCTTTTTCTGTTGCTCAGGCTAGAGTGCAGTGGCACAATCTCTAAGCTCACTGAACCCTCTGCTTTTCAGGCTCAAGTGATTCTCCTGCCTCAGCCTCCTGAGTAGCTGAGACTACACGCATACAAAACCAAGCCCAGCTAATTTTTGTATCTTTTGCAGAGACGGGGTTTTGCCATGTTACCCAGGCTTGCCTCAAACTCCTGAGCTAAGGTGATCCACCCACCTCAGCCTCCCAAACTGCTACCATCACAGGCGTGAGCAACCATGCCCGGCCCTAGAAAGACGAATTTATATTTTATCTACATGTTCTTATTTCCCACATACTCCACAATTCAGTGCAATTTCAACTCCTATCACTGTAATGAATCTGCATTTTCAAATATCACCAGTGACCATGATATTGCAAGACACAATATTTTTAGTTCTTATTTTTCTAGGTTTCTCTGCTCTTTTGATGCATGAACAGCCTTATTTCTCCTTGAAACTTTCTCTATTTTTGGTTTATAATCTTAGTACTCTGCCTCAATTTTGCAATTTTGTATGTGATGCATGGAACAACTTGCAGTAAATACTTTGTTAATATAGTTTGATATATATGTATTTAGGTACCACATATGTATACATGTACAAATATGTAAAATTTTAAAGCTTTTAACTATGGCTTTTAAAATATAATTTATCAAAATATTAAATAAATCTATATGTTATGTTAGATTTACCTTCTGAATATACTGGCAACTTTTATGAAAAACAAACTGATATTGATTGCCTTGTATACATATTTATATTTTTCTACAATTACTGACCTAAATAATTAACCCTTTATGGTAATTATAATCTTTAACCAACATAATCAATGTTTTTTTTCTTCAGACCAAGAAATACTAGAGAATATAAAACAATCAAGAAATATTTTGATGTTTATTTTTCCATGAATAAATATTTTGGATTATTTTAGCAATTGTTTAGAGGCAAAAACAATTGAATGTTTGAATGAATATGCACATACATGGGTGTTTAAAATATCATCTGATATAGTTTGGATGTCTGTCTTCTCCAAACTTCATGTTGAAGTGTGATCCTCAATTTTGGATGTTGGGTCTAGTGGGTGGTGTTTGGGTCATGATGTAGGATCCCTCATGAATGGCTTGGTGCCCTCCCCGTGGTAATGAGTGAGTTCTCACTGTATAAGTTCTTGTGAGAACTGGTTGTTAAAAAAGCATGGCACCCCTCCCCTTGCTCTCTCTTGCTTATCTCTTGCCATGTGATCTCTACACGCTGGCTGAAGCTTGCCTTCTGCAATGAGTGAAAGCTCCTGAGGCCTCACTGGAAACAGATACTGGCACCATGCTTCTTGTACAGCTGGCAGAATCTTGAGCCAAATAAACCTCTTTTTTACATAAATTAATTACCCAGTCTGGAGTATTCCCTTATAGCACCGCCAACGGACTAAGATATCATCCAAAATCATTTGTATTTTTGTTGTTATTCTATTTAGTCTGTTGTCATTTTAAGAAATAATTAAAATGTGTAGTAACCAGTATGTTGTGTCTATTTTTTAAATTGTCCAGATTTTCATAAAATTAAACCTTTTAGAATATATCCATTATTATACATAATTGCTTAATTTTATATATATAATTTTTAATTTTAAACAATTTGTGAAAACAGTAACTTTTTTTAACTCATTAAATCAATGTGGGAAATATACAATTTTGAATTGCAAGGAAATTAACCCTGGTCTTGAATGAACCAAAATATTTTGCTAACATTATTTGTGTGTGGCAAACTAATACTATGAAAACTCTGAATCATGCCAAATGTCTTATTTTATCTTGAAACTAAAGCCCTTTCTTATTTATCTCATAGCTATAGCAACAAAGGGTATTATGTAAATATACTTTTCAGTGTCCACAAAAAGAAACACTGTTTAATATATTTGCTTTATTGTTTTCATTTTTTAGACAATATTGATTACCTAGATTACATTTTCTTAGAGTGCACAAAAACAAGTGAATCATTTTTTGATCAGATAATCTTTAAAGTTTCATAAGGGAGGGGAAAGAAAAAATGAGAGAGCCAGCTCCAGACAAATATGAAATTATTATGACAGGAAGGAAGCTTCAGATACATATGAAATTATCATTGTAAAAGGCCAATTATGTTATTTCTGCAAAGAGAGGAAAGAAAGTTTAGATGTAGAAAAAGAGATTTGACATATACACACACAAATGAGAATATCATCCAGCCAGTTTTGACATGAGTTGGGCCCTTGACAATTTTAAGTCATACATTTAAAAAGCCGGCACTTATTAATCTTTAATGTACAGAAAAAAAGGGTAAGTCTGTCACATTAAACAAAATGATGTCTCTTTCAGACAGACACAACAGTCTCCTCATGAGAGTTTATTTGCTTTTATTCTAAGGCACTCCTCACATGAACAATTTTGGTCATGTCAAAAGCTCCACCAAAGTGGCTACTACTACTCCACCTTGTCCCTGATGCAATGGTTCCAGTTAGAAAAATAAGCATACAATTTAGCCTTCTAATAAGAAAACATGAAGGAAGCAGGTATTCAGCCTATAAAAGGCACAGTTTTAGATGTAGAATATCCCATGAAAACTGAACAATCTGTAAGAACAGTGTTTTTGTAACTTAGTGAATCCCATGTTTAGCTAAAGGTGTTTAGCTAAAGTGAATCCAGGGTTTAGCTAAAGATCATCACCAATCAGAGGCCAAACAAGACCTCCTGATTCTGGGAAGCTGGAACTAAATAGAACAATTCTCTGGAAAACAAAGGCAGGACTGAGGAGGAGGTCCTTTTCCGATTTCATAATGATGACCCATGATAAAGATTGTCCCAAGGACCCTTGTCTGAGGAGAGATTCTGAATACCTCAACCCCTGGGACCAGGTCAAGGATGACTTGTTGGACTTATACTTGTCTTCTTTCCATAGACTTTTCTTCTTATGGACAAACATCATTCAAGACACTAGAACAGCAGACAGAACACAGGAGCACGTGTTATAAAGCTTCAAAACAATCTACCGAGGAATAATACACGTCTCATCAGGTAACATAATTATTCCAACTGACCTCATTGTATTCCTAGGAAAATAAAACAAACCCAATGTTGAAGAGCTTCAGTGAAATAGTAGAGCTTAATTCATAATGAATTTGCTTTTTAGCCATGGGAAAGGTCGAATATCAAACAGAAAGAAACACATGGAATCTCCGATATACATATTATGACTGAGTAGAGGTTCCTGGTTCAAAGCAGAGAGTAGTACATCAGCTAAATCTTAGGATAACCTCCATTTCTGTCAATGCCCTCCAAGCAAAGACCACTAGGAACATGTAATTAATTAAGTTGTATTTATTACTGACAGCAGGAAGGAAGAATGTGAACCATAGAAAGGACTTATCATAGAAAGAACTTAATTTGCGCTCATGTTAGATTATTTTGAGGAAGGTTTAAGGAATGAGGGTTTCACTCTGGATTGGATGCTGTTAGGAAGTGGGCTAATTCTATGATTGGATATTTTAATAAATCTGATCTATAGGGAAGGTAGACCAGAGTGAGGCTAAAGCTGTAATTAGTAAAGAAGCATCAGCCATTCATATCAGCCAGGGTAGGAGAATGTTTGATGTTTTTTAACTTGGACTATGTTCGTGTTTTGCTAGTGTTCAGTAATGATTACGAAATTGTCTTTTTGTCTTGATCCATCACGGTCAAAGAGTGGCCTTGTTTGATGTTCTGTGACATTGTTTATGTTCAAAAGGAGAATACCAAGGCCTAGCAATGAATGCAATACTGTCTTGTGGCAATGCACAGACAGTGATCGTATCAGTCCAGCATCTGGATGTCACTGGCTGCTTTTCTCTTTTCCATCTTAATCCAAGCCATTTTTTCCTAGGATCAGCAGACATTATTTCTGAAGACAAATGTAATGTAAGCAGTGGGTAAAAGTTTTCCAGTAGAGAATAAATGTGTTATAAATGACCTAAAAAGTCCACATCAGAAATACGTTGTTAAATTATCAAGAAATAACTCAAATTAGCTCCTGTATAGAAAAAAATGGAAATGAGAAGATATATATATATGACAAAATGATGTTCTTATGTCTTTTTCATAAATGGTTCAAACAGGCTTATTTAAGAGCCTATTTTGAGTGAGATTTCTAGTTAAAAGTGTCTAAATGAGAACAATATACCCATTTTGCTCAGTGCAGAAAAGCTCTATAATTTACTGGAGAGATAATAGAACTGTTGCTCAGACAAAACCAAAGCGTGTAAAAAATTTTTACCACTGGCCTAACAATAAATCATCCTCTCAGTATTTTCGTTTGCCATTGATATCTGGAGGTTGAACAAGTTTGTGACTCAGGTGTTTAAAGTTAGTTGGACTAATTTACTATCTCAGTGCCATGCTGGATTGTAGGCAGCAATGGAATTGAAGGGAACAGAAAGAAACTTGAACTCATTAAATGAGTTTGGGCAAGAGGTCAGATAAACAATAAGTGTTAAGAGGACATAAATACTAGAGGGTCACATCACGTAGACTTCCAAAATCCATGTCAATCGTCAGGCCTCATGAGGTTGGCTGAATAACTAGAACTAGTAACTGAAGCAGATATACTGCACCAGCCATAAGTAAAGGGTAGAGTTACTGAGGCAACTCCAGGTACTTTTGCACTGCTAATGGTGAACTTGGCCTGAAGAGTTGCAAGATCCTTTGGTGAGACAAAATGTATACCAGAAAAAAGGTATAAAAAAATCCTATAAATAAACTGCTGGATGGACTAAAACACACAACTGAAGTAGAAAGCTCAGAAAATAAATCACTCTAAGACACAGATTTTACCTTCTCTGATAGCGGCGATATTATTTAGTCAACATTTTATCTTTTTAGTAACCTCCTGGAATGGGTTTGTATTCTTCCCATGTTGTTTCTGCTGCTTATAGAGTCTCTGGCATGGTTTTAAATAATAACTACTTTTTCATGGGAATAATCACTGTACCAGACACTATATTAGGGACTTTAATCATTTTTAATTCACACAACAATCTTGCAAAGCAGGTATTACTCCCATTTTACAAGAGGAAATAGATGTTCAAAGAAGTTAAATGTCTTAATCAGGTTCAAACCACTGAATCCTGGATTTTCTTGTTCCTATTAAGCTGCCCACTTTTCTCATTACACCACTGCTTGTTCTAAGACTTGGCACTTTTGAGGCATGTCTTCTTGATCACTTTAGTAAAAATGTCACCTTTCTAGACAAGGCAATTCTTCACCTGAGCCTCTGTCTCTCACAGTAGCTCCTTAGGTATATAATTTTCCACCAGAGACAAGCACAAACCAAGATAAGGGAAACAACCACTACTTTTGTGAGTCATCTAGTGACTCTTCTCTCTGTGGGTTTTCCTGCCTCTCATCCACTTCCTGTGTCTACTGGGCTACCCTATCTACTCAGTTTTCCACCTCCAAAATCACTGTCATGTGTATACTGAGTAATGTCAATTTTAATATGGTAACATGGTGCAGGAAGTGGCACACATTTATTGAATTTTAGGACTGTTTAAGCTTCCATGAATCACATTTTAATTTTTAATTTGGTGAAACAGAGACACACAAAGAACTTGTAGCAGAGGAAGATGACAGAATAGAAGGCTCCACTGGTCGTCCCCCTCACAAGGACACAAAATTAACAACTATCTACACAAAAAAGCCACCTTCATAAGAAACAAAAATCAGGTGAGCACTCACAGTGCACAGTTTTATCTTCATAGCACTGAAAGAGGTACTGAAGAGGTAGGAAAACAGTCTTGAATTACACCATCCCTACTCCTTCACCAGCAGAGGCAGAGTGGTGCATATATAATACATATTTATATTTTTATATATATATCACATGTATAAACTATATATATATATATCTCTCTCACTCTTTTTAACTTTTATTTTAAGTTCAGGGGTACAAGTGCAGGTTTGTTTCATAGGTAAACTTGTATCATGGGAGTTTGTTGTATAGATTATTTCATCACCAAGGTATTAAGCCTAGTATCCATTAGTTGTTGTTTTTTTTTTGGTCCTGTCCCTCCTCCCACCATCCATCCTACAAAAGGCCCCAGTATGTGTCATTTCCCTCTATGTGTTCATGTGTTCTCATCGTTTAGCTCCCACTTGTGAGAACATGCGATATTTGGTTTTCTGTTCCTATGTCAGTTTGCTAAGGATAATGGCATCCAGCGCCATCCATGTCCCTGCAAAGAACATGGTCTCATACTTTTTTATGGCTGCATGGTATTCCACAGTGTATATGTACCACATTTTCTTTATCCAGTCTATCATTGATGGGCATTTGGGTTGATTCCATGTCTTTGCTATTGTGAATAGTGCTGCAATGAACATATGCATGCATGTGTCTTTATAATAGAACGATTTATATTTCTTTGGGTATATACCCAGTAATAGGATCACTAGATTGAATGGTATTTCTGTCTTTGAGGAATCGCCACACTGTCTTCCATAATTGCTGAACTAATTTACACTCCCACCAACAGTGTATAAGCATTTCTTTTACTCCACAACCTTGCCAACATCTGTTATTTTTTGACTTTTTAATGATAGTCACTCTGACTGCTGTGAGATGGTATCTCATTGCAGTTTTGCTTTCCATGTTTCTAATGATCAGTGATGTTGAGCATTTTATTATCTGATTGTTGGCCACATGTATGTCTTCTTTTAAAAAGTGTCTGTTCATATCTTTTGCCCACCTTTTTTTATGTGGTTGTTTGGTGTTTTTCTTTTGTGTGTAAATTTGTTTAAGTTCCTTATAGATGCTGGATATTTGACCTTTGTTGGATGTATAGTTTGAAAAAATTTTCTCCCATTCTGTAGGTGTTCTGTTTATTCTGTTGATAGTTTCTCTTCTTGTGCTGAAGCTCTTTAGTTTAACTAGATCCCATTGGTCAATTTTTGCTTTATTGCAATTGCTTTTGTCATCTTCTTCATCAAATCTGTGCACATGCCTATGTCCTAAATGGTATTGCCTAGGTTGTCTATCAGTTTTTGCATAGTTTGGGTTTTACATTTAAGTGTTTAATCCCTCTTGAGTTCATTTCTGTATATGGTGTAAGAAGGGGTCTGGTTTCAATCTTCTTCATATGGTTAACCAGTTATCCCAACACCATTTATTAAATAAGGAGTCTTTCCCCATTGCTTGTTTTTGTCAGGTTTTTCAAACATCAGATAGTTGTGGGTGTGCAGTCTTATTTCTGGGTTCTCTGTTCCGTTCCATTGGTCTATGTGCCTGTTTTTGTACCAGTATCATCATGTTTTGGTTACTGTAGCCATTCTGTATAGTTTGAAGCTAGGTAGCATGATGCCTCCAGCTTTGTTCTTTTTGCTTAGGATTGCCTCGACCTCCTTGGCTCCGGCGATCCTCTGACTTCAGCTTCCAGAGTAGCAGAGACTACAGGTGTCTGCCATGCCTGGCTATTTTTTGTATTTTTGGTAAAGAAGGGGATTGACCATGTTGCCCAGGGTGGTCTTGAACTCCTGGGCTCAAGGAATCCATCCACCTTAGCCTCCCAACGTGCTGGGATAACAGGCGTGAGCCGCCACACCTGGCTTTAAAAACTGGAACATTTTTAAGGGGTAACAGATGAGCTACCAAGACATACTGAGCATCAATCTTGGTATGTATAAATTTAGTTCTGTAATATTTCTGAGAAACTCTGTGTATGTCAAAGGAAAATAAAATTGCAAATAGTTGCATTTAACATAATTTTTAAAATTTAAAAATTATATTTACATTTATTTAAAAATAAGATTATATCTTATAAAGAATCTGTGTAGTCAAAATATTTATCACATGGATGCAGAATGCATAACATATGTCAAAAACTACTGACAAATAACCAGTAAATGGAATAACAGCCTGCTATTTCATCACTTTATTGTAGTTTCTCTAAAGCCTCAATGAACATGCAATTCTGTCAGTTGATGCTACTTTTTAATAAAAAACTGAGGACACAGTGGCCTCTTCATGAATTATAAGCCCCACATCATCTATCATTACCATTTTCAAGTCACAAAATGTTATTAAGAGATTTTATAATTTTTACAGAGAAAGCCTGAGCAAGAATAAAATAATTTGAAGGTGGATGCAAAGAGCAAGTCCATCTTCATATCTGTATTAGGCTTCTGAAGGCAGCAGCAGAAATTTCTGGAATAAAACCAAAACCTCCACATTTGGCTCTGGAAGCAGCATATCCTCATGAGGGTGTTGAGCTCACCTGCCCAGCTTTATTTTCCTTGCTGTGTTATTTTCCCTTTATGTTGGAACCTCTTGCTCCAATTTCACACAATGGCCTTATGTGGGGTGAGGTGGACGGCTGATAGAAAATGCATGGAGGCATGATGGGTAACTATACACTGTTAACTGGATGTAGGCTACATCTCCATAAAATGATTAGCTCATTACATTTCAGACAACCTATATTGTGGGAAAACTCAGAAAGCTGTAACTTTTCTCATTCACAAGGGAATTAAGGTATTTTAGCCCCCTACAAAGAAACCAGCCCCCTTTTCTCCAGGGCAGGACCATAGGTTAATATATAGGAAAGAGGTAGGACCTGCATGGGATAAAGCAGGTAAATCTGAGAAATGTTCTGCAGGTAAGGAGATTTCTTCCTTGTTGCACGCACACACACACACACACACACACACACACACACACACGCACGCATGCACAGACACACACAGCCTAGCAGGCAGAACAAAGTCAGTGTAGTAGCAGATAAAAAGAACCAAAACAGTAGCAGTGGCAAGAGAATGCGGGGACGAACATGCCTAGTCAGCACCGCAGTGAGCAAGAAAAGGAGAGAGCTTAATATTTTTTAAAGATTATTAAAGTAATTACCTTTTCACAAAGATTTTTCAATTATTGATTCATTTTGAAGGCCACGAATATCATGCACAACAAAACATTATAACTTATTTGTATGTATATAATGCTAGAGATTGGAAATTTTCATGTACCCTCTCTATTACTGAAACATAGAATCAATCCTTTTCTTTTTGTTGCTTTTGGTTGCAATTACAGTGATTCAGTAGTCAAGATTATTTTGGTGTCAAATGACACATCAACTCAAACTACATGAAGCCATTAAACGGAGTTCTATTAGTTTATGAAACCAGGCAGGAGGGACAGGATTTTGCTAGAACTGATAAATGAGCATTGAGGAAGCTTTTGCATTTTTTTTTTCTTTGAGTCTTCCTTCAGTTGTAGGCATAAAGAAAAATAAAACTGCCAGGGTAACTTGACATTCTGGTTAGTAACGCAGTTGACAGGACATCACTGATCAAAGTTCATGACTTTCACTTTGAGCCTTCCATATTTACCACTAAGTATGCCCTGCTCCCTCACCACAATTACAATTAAATTGAATCATAAGAAATAAAGAATATGTAAAATATTTCATTTGGGATTTGTGGTAGCAGTAGTAAACTAGTGCAGCTATCATCACAGGCTTTGTGAATTTATTGTAATCTCTCTCTGGAATTTCAGTTGTGTCTGGCCAATTTTTTCCTTTTCAATTTAATATAATAGTATGTTTCTGAGTAGGCGTAGATATTTTAAATCACAGATCTCAATCCCTCCTACACACAAACATAGCTTTGAAAATACTTATGCAATTTTGAGTTATTACATCAATTAACTGGGAACAGGCTGAGGTTGAAGTGAATAGGGAGCATCATAACCATTCCACAATTTATTTCTAGGAAACAAACAAGAAATAAAGACGCTTTTTATCAAAACAGAGATTTCAGAGGAAAGAGATTAAAGAAATATAAATTATTAGAGTATTTTAAACCTGTGATTAAAAATGCTGCCAAATTTTAGGAAAGGCTTAGTGCCCTAGGAGCAGAGAGGGTCCATCCAGGCCCCATGTGGGAGAAAAACAGGGTCTCCTTATGGCAGAATATCTCCTGTTGGGCTACATGAGGAAAGAGAGTGTCAATGTGCGAGATAGAAAGGTAGGGAGAGGAAGGCAAATCATAAGTTGATGAAACCTGGATAAATAAGCTCATTGCTTATTTCCAGAGGAGATAAAATGTTATGTACACTACTGCCACCAGCCTAAAGGCACGGACCGTGGGCCATGTGGCCAGGAATATCTTTTGTGCCCAGGTAGATACTAACGTCTTATAGTTTAATAAAAGTGTATTTTGTTTCTTTTAAATTTATATTTATATTTTTAAATGTATATTTAAATTTATATTTGCCATTTTGGAACGTTTCAAGGATACAGAAAAGAATTACAAACACCCAGGTACCCATCCAGATTGAACGATGTTAATTAACCCCTTGGCCATTTACCTAGATCGTTGATTGGGTACAATAGCAGAGATCTAGAGATTGCTAGTTGATCACCAATATCCCTTCTTTTATTTTTTTTAATTATTCTTTCCTTCTTTTGAAGTAAAAGAACCCCTGATTTAGTTGTGCATAGGGATCCCCAGAAATAAAGGCTCTACGCCTCATCCTCCTTTCAGACAATGTGTGACAGTGTGATAAAGATATGGACAATGGGATGTGAGTGGAAGGGTCACCTCCTCCTTCTTTTCCCTTTGCTTCACACCGGAATAAAGACTTAGTGAAGTGGTGAGCCATGTTGGACCATGCTGTCTGATTCAGTACATTAAAAACAGGAGGATAATAAGAGAGAAGGAATCTGAGTCTCTGACCCTGTGTATCACTTACAGCAGCCATTAATTTTTCACATCAAGCCTGTTATGTGAGAAAAAAAAAACACTTTAATCTTGTTTAAGCCACTCTTAACTTTGGGTCTCTATTCTAGCAACCAAATCTAGATCCTAACTAATATAAATATTCATTATGTGCTTACTATACACCGGATGCTCTTCTAGACCTTAGAGATAAAGTAATAAACAAATAAACAATAATCCTTACTCTCCTGGAGCTTAAATGGTAGCAGAGGAGACACATAGTGGCAATATAAGTTGAATATAGAGGACGTTAGATGATGGTGCAAAAGGCTATGGAGAAAAATATACCAGGGAGAAGAAGGGTGGTGTGGGAGTTGCCATTTTAGATGAGGTAGCTCGAGAAGGTCTCACTGACATTTAAGTAAATATGTAAAGGAAGTGAATAAATGAACCATGTAGATATCTAAAGGAAGAACATTCCAAAATAAGAGAACAGCTAATGCAAGCAAGAGCCACAAGGCAATAACATGCCTATTGTCTGTAAGTAACAACAAAAGAGAATAATATGGCAAGATTCCATGAAACTAGGTAGGAAAGTCGTAGGATATGAGGTCACAGAGCAAAGTGGCACATGGAATAGAGCTCTGTGGCTCATTATAAGAACGTTGACGTCAAATCAATGGGTGTAGTATAAAGTGGTCATATTCCAGATACATTATAAAATTACAGCCAATGGTATTTGCTAATGGGTTTGATGTGGGGCGTGAGAGAGAAAAAACAAGGGTGGCTCCAAGTTTTTTGGCCAGAGCAATGAAAGGAATGCAGTGTAATTTCCTGAAATAAGGAAACACATGAAAGGAGCAGATTTAGCTGGGAAAATCAGGTCTTTGGTTTTGGACAGATTAATTTTGCAACATCTAACAGAAATCCAGTTGTAGATGCTCAATGAGTAGCTAGATATGTGAATCAGGAGTTCTGCACAGGGGTCTAAGCAGAAGATATAACTCTGGCAGGGGGCATCAGAATACACGTAGCATGTAAAGCCATGATCCTGGGTGAGGCAATATAAGAACTGTAAATAGAAAAGTAAAAATAGTCTAGAGCTATACCACTCTGAATGTGCCTTATCTCAGCTGATCTTGGAAGCTAAGCAGGGTCAGGCCTGGTTAGTACTTGGATAGGAGAAAAGTGAAAACATTCAAGTCCTGGACACTTCAATGTTTTCAAGCTGAGGAGATGAGGAGGATCCAGCAAAGGAGATGGAAAAAGAGCAATCAGAAAAGGAGGAGGAGGCCGGGCGCGGTGGCTCACACCTGTAATCCCAGCACTTTGGGAGGCCGAGGTGGGTGGATCACGAGGTCAGGAGATCGAGACCATCCTGGCTAACTCAGTGAAACCCCGACTCTACTAAAAATACACAAAATTAGCCGGGCGTGGTGGCAGATGCCTGTAATCCCAGCTACTCGGGAGGCTGAGGCGGGAGAATGGCATGAACCCGGGAGGTGGAGCGTGCAGTGACCTGAAATCGTGCCACTGCACTCCAGCCTGGGCAACAGAGCGAGACTCCGTCTCAAAAAACAAACAAACAAACAAACAAACAAACAAACAAAAAAACGGGAGGAGGAAACCCAGGAGAGAGCAGTGTCCCAGAAGTCAGGTGATGATAGTATTTCAGAAAGTAGAGAATAATCAACTGTGCTCATTGCTATTAAAAAAATCAAGTAACAAGAGGAATAAGAATGTGCTATGGGATGGAGAAACATGGATGGAATTTGGTAACTATTACATGGCTGCCTTAGTGAATCTATCATTTTATCATTTTCATCACATAAGGATCATATTATTTCAGAGTAAGAAGGCTACAAAAGTCATCCATCCAAACATCTAACTCAGATTACAGAATCCATGAAAGCTGTTTGTTCAGCCTTTCTTTAAGCATGTCCAGTGGCAGATTGCTTTCAACTATGTGGGACAATCATTCCATTTTTGGTGACATCATAGTTGTCCCTTGCGTTGAATATGTGCGCATTTTAATTTTTATTATTCAAAAAGTTCTGCTTTTGTAGTCACATAATATAAATTACTGCTGCCAGGTATACAGAAGGCATTTCTGCTTTTTTTTGAAAAATCTCACACTCTTTAACTTCCATCAGATATGAATCTTCTCAGGGTAGCACCTGAAAGTATGATAATAGCCCCAAGGCAGCCACTTCCCAGGTTCAGGGGGATCCTGCTTGGGTCTGTCTTATCTTACCACTCCATTCCTCAATGGCACACAGTAAAAGAAGCTCCTCTCAAGGACACCTGATCTCTGATCATTGTTCCCCACTCCCACCTCCAAATATGGTTCCTCTCCTCCATGCCACAGTTCTGTGATTGGCTGTCACTCAACCTCATCTGTTAGCATCTGCCTACCTCATGTCTCTTCTGTTACCAAGCCATTGCAAGTTCATTCTCCAAACTAATTAGAGGCCAGATGTTCACAACTTCGTGATTGGTTTACCTGGTCTGCAGTCCTTACTCCAAGTACACAACTGAGACAACCCAGGTACTTCCCAGATACTCCTACCAGTGACCACTGAATCCAATGCCACACCAAATATTACTCCATATCCTAACCCCAATCTACCCTAACACAGAGTCAAGACATAAAGTTAGAGAATGTGGCCATCCCACTGTAAAATAGTATTGCCACAAGCTCACTCTAGTGGGCATGAGGACGACTTCATCCCAATTGTTACGTGTACTTGATAACCATGGGTGAGAGCATGTTCCAGAAAAAAGCAAGTACAAAGGAAGAGTAGAGGCAACATGGGTTGCTAAAAGTCATTAGTTGTCTGATTTCCCACACATTCAGAAACCTTCTCCAGAAGACTTACCAATGTCAGCCCAGTGCTATTCAGCCTTGAATGGGAGCCAATTCACTTTGAAGAGGAGGACCTGTTGAAGAGTAGGCCAACAGATGATCCATTGATAATCTCTGCTCCAACATAATTAGAATGCCATAAGACATTTTTGTTGTATGCATAGCTAGTCCCAGGACAGAGAAGAGCCATGTAATCTGAAGTGGCTCTAAGCTGAGTAAAGCAATGCCCATATAGAACCAAATTTTTGCTCCTATCTCACTCTCTTTCTCCATTATTAGCTACTTAAAAAAATAAAAATAAAAATAGAACAAAAAAACCTCTTTCAACAAAACACGCAATTACATATGTGCCCTGTTCTGCCTCCCTGGATTGATAAATGCTTTTCAATGGATATTACTACTTCCCCAAACCCATCTCTTACAATAATTAAACTTACATACATGAGCAGTCAGCCTTTATTTGTGTCATTTCACCAGGCCCTATTCTTAGAACTAACAGTCATTCTCTCTGCTTCAGCCCCAGTAAATGAAACTCCCAGCCTTGAACTAATCATAGACTAAAGGTTGACTACTTTGCCTTTGTTTTACCCAAGGAGTAGCCCCCAGAATAGCAGCCTTTCATAAAGAGCATACACCTCAGAGCAGAACCTACACACACTATTGACAGTCCAGCTTTCCCAAAGCACTCGACATTCCCTTCTTCCTCACATTCCTACATATGTAGGATTCCTACATATCCTAACACCAAATGCATCTAAATATATTTCCAGAATGCTTTATGTAGGCAGTTTCTGTACCATCAGATTTGTTTTCAAATTTGTTAAAGTAGTAGTTATATTTCATGATACTCATAGTCATATAGTTAGCTATGATTAGTTATGGTTGGTCACAAATACTACCTTTTATGGTTACCAGCTATAGTTATGATCAATTATGGCTAGTATTATAGTTATAAGTTCTAACTAGTTGTGGTTGCTGGTTGTAGCTACAAACTAGTTGCAGTTTCTGGTTTACAACTGTTAACTATTCATTGTTACTAGGCACAGTTACTAACTAGTTGTGGTTACTGTGCTGTGGCTAAAAACTAGTGGTAGTTACTGGATTGTGGCTGCTAACTAGTCATAGTTAACCAACTGGTTAATGATTAGTAGCCGATGCCAATTTGTGGCTGCTAATGAGTTCTGGTTACCATGTTGGGCTACTAACTAGTTGAAGTTTTCCAGTTTGTGATCATTAAGTAGTTGGGGTGGCTGGGTTGAGAATAGCTTGTACTTACCAGTTCGTGACTACTAACTAGTCATGGCTACAATGTGTTGCTACTAAAATGTTGTAGTTACTTCTGACTGTTGACTAGTGCTGGTTACCTTGTTGGGGGTGATAACAAGTTGTGATTGTGAATTTGTGACTACAAACTAGTTATGATTCTGCTTTGTGGGTGCTAAGTACTCATGGTTTCTACTTTGTAGTTGCTGTTTTGTGGCTTCTACGTAGTTGTGGTTACTATGTGTTCTTGTTAACAAGTTGTGGTTACTGGCTGTGGATAATAACTAGTTGTGGTCTCTAGTTATGGCTAATTGGAGTTGTGGTTAGTTATACTTAGGTTTGGTGTACTCGTGGTTGGCTGTAGTTGTAAAGTTGATTATGGGTATAGTAATACAGAGTTATAGGATTAGTTAGTTATAGGTGTATTTATAATTATAGTTTTTGGCTATAGCTATAGTTGTATATAGTTACGATGAGAATTGTTATAGACTGTTAGTATTATAAAGTGTTAGAATGTAAAAGTTGCAGTTATTTAATCTGGAATGTAATCTATTCAATTACATAACCAGATCTTCCAAAACTTTTATGATCCATGGCCACTGAACAACACACTTCTAGTATTTAATTCCACTACATTTATTTGGAAGTAGTTCTAAAATATTGGAGTAAGTAATACTTGTGAAATCAGTCACAATTAACATTACTAATGGAATATCAAAGCTTAAGATGGCATAATTTTGATATACACACATGCATGTGTATACATATGTGTGTACGTGTCCATTCTAGGCTATAAAAAATACATAGCCCTGTGTTATATTGTGATAGGCCTTCATTCATTCAGGAAACATTTTTGAAGTATCTGCTTTGAACAAAGCACTATTCCAGAAGTGTGAAACATATCAGTGAACAAAAGAAAGATTATTGTCCTAACCTTCTAGTGGCATGAGGCAGACAAGAGACCATAGGCACAAAGAATGAGTTAATTATATAATAGGTTAGGAGGTGATGAGTTCTGTGGAATAAAGAAAAAATACAGTAGGGTAGAGCAAAATGGATGTGCCTCGGGGTGAGGGAAGCCTGCAATTTTCAAAAAGGTATCCAGCATAGGCCTCAGTGAAAAGGTGGCATTTGACCTAAAAGGTGTAAGAGGGTCAGTGCCATGGATGTATAGAGAAGAATCATCCCAGTATGAAGCAGCAGCCAGTGCAAAGGCCCTAATTAGGGAATGAGCCTGGCACGATCCAGGGGCAGCAAGGAGTCCAGTGTGGTTGAAGCAGAGTGGAGTGAAACCCCACTTCTCCATGCACCCACCAAGTCCTGCACCCCAATACACTGCTGCCCTCCCTCTATCCTCCCCACTGTTACCTTGCCATACTATCACCTGGCACACTGTCACTTTTCTCTCATGGGACTTGGACAACTAACTCCCTCTTTAGGGATAGTTTCTGCCTCAGATTGCCGAGACTTACCTGCTTCTCCTTTTACACTCAAGTCCCTCACTGTGGCTCACTGAAGTCCTGCATTCCAATGCGGGGTGAAGTTATTCTCCCATACAGAAGCCATCCAGCACTGCTCCCTGGTCACCTGCTGGCTGTGGCACAGTCAGCAGTGCCTGAACCTGACCTCAGGAACGAAGCTTGGCGGGTGCTTGTGGTTCCTGGAGGTTCAGGAGAGGGAAGGAACATAGTCCTGGGAACTCCGGAACACAGTCCTTAGCTGAGGAGACAAAGACTGACAAAAGCAACAGCTAGATCCCTGTCGACAGGCACCCACCGGCTTTGCCCGTCAGGCCACTGCATCAGACTCTTTAGCTCATTTGATCCACCTGAGAGATAAGGATCAGGAAACTCGAAGGGCGTTCCCAAGCTCACACAGTTTGTGAGGTTTGGAGCTGGGATTTGCATGAGGCTCCTTGGTCCATGCCCATAACTGCTGTGCTGTGCTCACTCAAGTCCCGTGTCACCTGTACGTAAAAGCAGACAATGGGACTAGACATTCTTTAGTGTCCCATCTGCCTCTAAAGGGTTGTGAAGCTGGTCAGAAGAAAGTCTACAGAATCAGCTGCTCTGCCACTCTTTTTTAATTTGCTTTTTAACGTCTCAGATTACTTGCAGGTGATGTGCTTGTATTATGCAGAAAAGCAGACCTTTCTTTGGAGGTTTTAGGCTTGCCCCCTGAAATCTGAACAGACCTCAGGTATATTCTTCCATCTAAGAATCTCGGGATATGGCATTGGACCTGACCTACTTGTGATTCCCCATTTGAATTAATTAGGTTTCCAGTGTTTTTCAGATCTAGATACTGGCTCTGAAACTACAGGCCACAGGAGTAAGGAAGACAAATAACAGAGTCTGGATTGGTATGTATTTAAACTAATTACTGGAAAGAAAAAAAAAAAAACACCCTCACTGTACTTTGCCTCCTTGTACTGGGTCAAGCATAGAATAGTGTGTAAGGAGAGCACATTTGTATGGCAAGTGGGTATCACACATTTTTCTTAGAGTTCCTTGCTTTGGGGAAAAAGTAAATATTCAATTTCAACCTTGGTTTTTGAAAATATGTGTAATTGAAATTATTTCTGTAACAAGGAAGAAGATCTTTGGTTTAGTATATGAAGTATGACTGTATAATAATGAGAACAGAGTTTTAGTGATTCAATTCAGCAAATATTTGTCAAGTATCTACTATATGAAAGATACTGAGCCAGTCAAAAAAGGCTGCAGCTTTAGTCTCTGACTTAAAGGGATTTGGGGAGCCCTAGGACATGGAACAAAAAGACATATAACTTGGGGATCAAAATTTCTCCAACGCTGTCCACAGTAGGAAAATGAAAAGGATACTCTGATAATACTGGGGACTCACCTCAAGGGAAGAGAAAGTTAGTCTCCACTTTGGAATAAAGGTTCGTGGTGGACATAAGCAGGTAGATCAGGAAGATGGTGTTCCAATGTAACTTACTTACGTTTATTCACAGAAGGGCTCAGGAAGTTGAAAGAATCAGGGAATCTTTCTGAGACTGTAAGATCTACAGTTATTTAATGTCTCAAGGTTGATTGAAATGGCTATAATTCCTTGGCAGAAAGCCATCTTCCCCTTCAGGAATATAGAACACAGCTGTAGGAATTGCATGAAAGGATGCTGATTTTGAAGGATCTGAAAATTGCGATGGCTGCCTAGGAGCATCGTAAACCACCCAGGCCCACAAGGAAGGAAACACAGTCATAACACTTCATGGATGCCTAGAGCCAAGTATCAGTGTGATTGTATTCAAGACTGGTGCAGCCTTCAAACATTCAGATTACCGTCATCATAAATCAGCAAAGATAGTGCAACAAGATGAAATCCACAAGTATTTTGAGCAATGATGACACCATCATTTATCGTCCAAAGTCAAAATCCTCATGCAAATACAATATTCTACTTAATACCATCATTTTGTAATAATCACTAACTCATGGCTTAATAGTGGTTTATATTAAACAAAGCATTCTCTCATCTTTAATCTCATGTAATCTGCATAACAACTCCATGATACAATGCAGGCAGGACAGAAAACATCTCTGAGTCACGGATTAAAGAACTGACACTCAAAGACGTCAATTGATTTGCACAAATACATAGTACTAATAAGTAGAGGAGCCAAAATCCAGTTCAGTTCAACAAACACAGCACATCCTACAGGCTTACTGCAAGGTCGGCACAGTATAAGATTTAGGGAACTAGAAAGAAGAATAAAATAAAACAGAATCTTGAGGACTTCATCCACTAGTAGAGAAGCAGACATGCAAACTGCTAATTCCAACGCAATGACCTATGTGCTTTGATATATGAAGAACCAGCAGAAGCACAAAGAAGGATCAACCAATATAGAGGGTTGAGGGGCATCAGGGAAAGCTTCCTGGAAGAGAGGATATCTCAACTGAGTCTTAGAGACTGAGCAGAGGCTAGCCAAGTGAAAATGGATTGCTTACAGTACTGCAGGATAGGGACAGCTAGTAGGGTAAAGCAGGATGGCACATCTGAGGAATTTCAAACAATTAAGAATTGTTATGCTAATTTGGGGAGTGGATTCCCATACATAGCAGAAGATGGGGAGAAACTGAGACCAAGTGGCTAGGAAGGAGTCAAACCAAATGTTCAGGAATGATCCTTGGCATATGTACTGTATATAATTGATCTGTCCAAGTAATTCCAATATGCACCCAGGATGAGGATTCCTGATATAGACTATCTGTAGACCATGATTTTTATGTTTTAGTGTGCAAAGAAATCACCTGGGTAGCCTGTTCAAAATGGAAATTTCGTAAGTACTTCTCACAGATAGTCCGTTTCATCAGGTCTGAGGTACTATTTTGGTATGTACATTTCTAAGAGATAGCAGATAACTCTGATGTAGGCAGTAGCCAGAGTACGCCACAGATGACCCTGATCCACCTAAACATATCCAGCTTCAATATAGAATAATTTCCAAATCTGTGTTTCCAATCAGATCACCTTTCTGGAGGTCTAGACTTATGTACTTAACCTCCTATTAGGGAGCTTCCCTTGGATGTCCCACAAGTACCTCAAATTCAATTTGTTCAACAGTAAGCCTATTATCTCTCCTCCTCCAATGTACTGCTTATCAATGTCCCCAGTTACAGTGCTGAAAGCTCTCCAATGGCTACCCGTTACACTCAAGTTAAATTCTAAAACCTAAGGTGGCCTACCAGGCCCTGAATGAGCTGGCTCCTAAGCACATGTCCACTTTCACCCATGCCATGGCCTCCCTTTCATGTCTTCTACTCTCAGAATTATGAACTTCTTTCAATTATATCAAAATACCCTCTTCTCTCATAAGCTGGCCTTTACTGTGCTTTTGTTTCTGCCATCATGCTTTACTGCTTAGTTCCTGTCTGTTCTTTAATTGCAGTAAACGTCATTTCCGCCAGGAGGTCTTCCTACCCAATACTATATACTCCTCCGTATAAGGGTCATAACAATTGTCATTTGCATTTTTTTTAAGACAGAGACTTGCTCTGTCGCCCAGGCTGAAGTGCAGTGGTGCAATCTTGGCTCACTGCAACTTCCGTCTCCCAGGTTCAAGCGATTCTCCTGCATCAGCCTCCCGGGTAGCTGGGACTACAGGCATGTGCCGCCACACTTGGCTAAGTTTCTTTTTTTTTTTTTTTTTTTTTTTTTGAGATGGAGTCTTGCTCTGTTGCCCAGGCTGGAGTGCAGTGGTGCGATCTCGGCTCACTGCAACCTCCACCTCGCTGGTTCAAGTGATTCTCCTGCCTCAGCCTCCCGACTAGCTGGGATTACAGGTGTGCACCACCGTGCCCAGCTAATTTTTGTATTTTTAGTAGAGATGGGGTTTCACCACGTTGGCCAGGATGGTCTCGATCTCCTGATTTCATGATCCACCTGCCTCAGCCTCCCAAAGTACTGGGATTACAGGCATGAGCCACCATGCCCGACCAACTTTTGTATTTTTAGTAGAAACGGGGTTTCACCATGTTGGCCAGGCTGGCTGCAAACTATGTTATTTGCCTTTTTGCTGTACTGTAGTCCAGCTCAACTGTGAACTCTGCTAGGGAGGAGTCTATGTTTGTCTGTTTCAATACAGCATCCCCAGTAACTAACACAATGTCTGGCCTGTAGAAAGCAATTGATAGGTATTTTGAGCAGAAGAGACAAAAGTTGTTTCCAAATAGTTATATTCAGGACAAGAATTTGTGCTAAGGAAAAATACAAAATTCAGACAGATATTGAAGTGCACAGACGTTAATCACAGCGGTGTATAACATAGCTGAAAACTGGAAAATATTTTCAAATGTTCATCAATAGGAATAGGGATAAACTACGGTGTGTACACATGTGAAATAATGTCATGTATGCATTGAAAAGATGGCTGACTGTAATATTCTGTAATTAAAATAACAATTTCACATCTAGCAAAATTACTTATGAAATGAAATAGTCTTGGAAATGTTATTGTTTTAGAAACTATACAAGGAGAATGGGAGAAAGCCCTTTTCACCTAGAATTCTCTATCAGTCAAGGTTTAATCAGGAAAATAGAAGCTGCTGGATATACTCTTAGTGTGAAGGTTGGTTTTTTTTGTTTGTTTGTTTCTATCAGACTTAGGAGAATTAATACAAGAATCAAAAGTGCTGGAGAAGAGACCAAGGAAGTCGCTACTGACAGTGTAGCCAGTAACAAAAGACCAAAGCAGGTTGTTCTTAAGTGTTTTCCTGGAAATCCCTCAGGATGCAAGTGATTCTGAAGAAACTCTCCCACTGAGTGGTTTCAAACCCCTTGTCTTCCCATGTCTGCCTGTAATTGCCTCCTGAAAATAATGTCCTCTATATATCTTCTGCATTCCAAATAATGCACAAGTGACCTTGCTCTTGGTGGACTTTAATCTGTAAATATGTGGTGATGAAAATTCTGGATAAAAGGGAGCAGTTTCTGGCTTTTCATTTGAAATGCAAATGAAGTAGCAACATAGCTAAATAACAACAAGGGACTCAGCTGAAATCCCAATAAGGTACAGCCCTAATGTCAGCATCTAAACCTCAGATACACAAATACTTACCATTGTGCTGCACTTGTCTACAGTATTCAGTACAGTAACATGCTGTACAGGTTTGTGGCCTAGAAGCAAGTTATAATATACAGCCTACATGTGTAGTAAGCTATACCATCTAGTCTATGTAAGTATATTCTGATGTTCGCACAACAACAAAATCATGAACAATGCTGTAGTGATGCATGACTGAATATTTTGTGTTTAGTTCCTCCAAACTCATAGTGGGTAGGAGAGTAGGATTTAAAAGGTCTCAGCACAGGTAGGCTAATGAGGTCGTTTCCCAATTCGTAAATAGAAGACCATGGAACTGAGACACAAGAAGCATATGCTCATGGCTGAGGGACAGTGCCCTGTTGTCCAAGGACAGCTCAGGAGCAAACATCTGCTTCAATCACTTTACTAGTCCTGTGACTTGGGAGTGGTGTGCTGGAACTAGCTTTATGCTAATATATTGTATTAGTCCGTTTTCACACTGCTATGAAGAACTACCCCAGACTGGGTAATTTATAAAGAAAAAAGGTTTAATTGACTCACAGTTCCACATGGCTGGGGAGGCCTCAGGAAACTTACAATCATGGTGGAAGACAAAGGGGAAGCAGACACCTCTTCACAAGGCAGCAGAGAGAAGAACGGAAGAGTGAAGGGAAAAGATCCTCTTATAAAACCATCAGATCTCATGAGAATTCACTCACTATCATGAGAACAGCATGGGCGAAACCACCCCATGATCCAATCACGTCTAACCAGGTCTCTCCCTTGACAAGTGGGGATTACGATTCCAGATAAGAGTTGGGTGAGGACACAAAGCCAAACCATATCATTTATGAAAGACTATTAAATTTTCAGGAGATTTTTTAAAGCTGGTTGAAGAAATATTGACATCTTGAAAGTAATATTGGTGAGAGTATTTACACCACAGAAATCATCAAATGCTACAAATTAGCATTTTTCAAAATGATTCATTCATTCACTCATTTTGGAGAGCCTTTTTCCAGCACACCATTGGCTGAGGAACATCTTTCTTTGCCTTTCTAAGCCCTAGAATCCTTAGCTGTAAAATGGGATTAATAATAATTACGTCTGCTACTTCCAAGACCCTGGAACAGGAAAGAAAATGGAGGTCATTATGCATAAATATTTTAAAATTCTTTTTTTTTTTTTTGAGACAGAGTCTTGTTCTGTCTCCCAGAGGTGGGATTTCACCCACCTCTATTAAATGTTGGTCAGGCTGGTCTCGAACTCCTGACCTTGTGATCTGCCTGCCTTGGCCTCCCAAAGTGGTGGGATTATAGGCATGAGCCACCACGCCCGGCAATATTTTAAAGCTCTAAATCAACCTATTAAACAGTTAAATTAAATATGTTGTATTCTCTAATCTTGACAACTATAGATCCATAATAACTCTATCAAAAAATATAAAGCTATGGTTTTTATTATCACTTAAAGTTGTTAAAATGTCAAAAGGAACTAAAAATATAACACAGATCTGGATTTACTCTATTGACTGGAAATGTTTGGGTGGGGACCAAAACAAAGTTGTACTTTATTAATAAACTATTACATGTTTATTCAAAGGGATTTGTTTTTCTCACCCTTATTTCATCAAAATCCTTCATTATGCTGTTACAATCAAGATTTTGGAATAGCTTGTATTCAATGAAAATAATGATATAAAGATTTAGGAAACTAAATTGCAAAGTGTGCAAAATTTTAGTATATTTTAATAACAATGTAAATTGTACTTTAAAAATAAAAATTTGTTACCATGTATACAAAAGTTATTTTCTCTTAAATTTTCAAACATCATTAAATTAAAATATATGAATTATAATTAATAAATATGAAATCTAAAATCAATGTTAGGGAAATAAAACATAACTTTAGAGGAAATTTAAAAAAATTATTAATTTTTAAATTAATAATCACAATGGTGCGATCTTGGCTGACTGCAACCTTCGCCTCCAGGGTTCAAGCGATTCTTCCACCTCAGCCTCCCGAGTAGCTGGGATTACAGGCGCCTGCCACCACACCCAGCTAATTTTTTGTATTTTAGTAGAGATGGGGTTTCACCATGTTGGCCAGGCTGATCCTGGTCTCAGGTGATCTCCCTGCCTCAGCCTCCCAAAGTGCTGGGATTACAGGCATGAGCCACTGTGCCTGGCCAACTTTTTAATTTAAATAGCGATTAAGTAGTTCTATAAAAATAAAACCATTCCAGTTTTCAATGTCTATTCTTGCTCATGTAAAGAAATGATATTACACTTTATATATATTAGCTCTAAACCTATATAAATAGAAAGCTATGAAAATATGAGTCATTTAATATTGAAAAATGTTCTTCAGTTGCTATGTAACTGTTAAGAATACCATGCTAATTGGTGTGTATTTCTAGAAATATAAATTTTTTAAAAAAAAGGAAATCAAAATTTGTCACTTGTGGGAAGCCATATTATGGAAAAATCCATTGCATTCATTCTATTAAAGAAGAAAAATGGGTTAATTTGTCTCTTCTGTTACCTAAGGACTTCTACCACTCAAATGCTCCCTGTACTCTAAAGCAGTGCCCCTCTCTGATGTCAGCAGTGGCACAATTGCATTTGCATACAATTTTCTTTTGGGGTACATGTAGGGCAAAAGATGTGAAGCTTCAAGAGTGTTAGTTGTGAGAATGGAGGCTTAGTGTCATGGGTGACACTTTGCCAGCACTGAGCAGGAGATCTTGAATGACAGAAGTACGCATGCTTTTTCAAACAAAACTTATCCTGTGCTTTGTGATTCTACGTGCTGTGCTTTTAAAAATGAAACTCATCTCAGTGTTTTGCATTCCTTTGCTTATGATCCCTTCTTCTATCTTCAAAGACAGCAATGGAGAGCTTCAGACCCTCCCCTCTTGCATCACTCTGGCTTCTTCCTCTCTCTTGTATTTGTGATTACATTAGACTCACCTGGATAATCCAGGATACTCTCCTGATCTCAGGATTAGTAAATTCATTACATCTTCCATGTTCCTTTTGGCATGTAAGGTCACTTATCCACAGGTTTCCTGGATTAAGATGTGGACATTTTGGCAGGCCAAATTCTGCCCTCCACAGAACCCCCTACATTTGGACTTTTAAACTTTCAAATTTCCAGTAACTGTGGATCATAGTTCCCTAACTTCCCACTTCATAGAAGTATTGCCTTCCTTTACATTAATGGAACACTTACTGTAAGCCAGATATTATTCTTGGCTTGGCACAGAGGATATGGCAATGAACAAAACTGATGTGGCCCCTATGATAGGAAATTTATCATATACTGGAGGAGAAAGACATTGATCAAGAATTATGCAAATTAATGTGAAATTCCACTATTGTCATTAGAGTTTCACCCAGGCAGTGGTCGAGAAACTAGAGAAAGGTGTATACTTTGGAGACCACTTACTGGAAAGATAACATTAATGGCAGGTGCCCCACACACTTAGATAAGACATTTTTCCATGTGATTTTAGGTCAATAAGCATGTTTATTTCTTTTTTTTTTTTACAAATATCTTTTTAATTTCAACCTTATAACCTTTATAAATGCTGTCAGTATTTACAGGAAAGAAAAATATGTTTTAGATTATTAGGCAGTTACAGAAATTTTCTCCTTGAGTACACTGGAAGGGTCATTTCCACTGATGGATACTTTTATAATGCTCTTTGATATAACCATGCAGACATAAGCCAAAAGGATCAGCTGTATCTACTTAATACAGTATCAGTATTAAGTATTGTTAAATAATACAGTATCAGTATTAAGTATTGTTAAATACTTAATACATGGCCGTTCCTCCCATGTTCAATAACATAAGCTTCTAGCTGAAGGAAATGTGGGTGAGAGCAAATAGAAGATTGGGACACCATGATTTTGTGTACATGTTTGTTTTTCTATTACCATTCGTTTCTGTGCTTGTTTGTGCTATTACCATAAACCTAGAGAGGGAGGAGAGTGCCTGAACAGAGACTATAATAGGTAATATAGAATGCCTTTCAGGGTCCCAGGGGCACTATGAGTTGGCTGATTATTTAAACTACAGAGGAAATCTCTGCTTTCAAGAATAGACTTCAAGAATAAGCAGGAAAATTAAATATTTGAGGTATGAGAAAATTGTGAATTGTACAATAGAAGATGAAACACAACAATCAATCAGAATAAAACACAAATATTGGTTCAAAATAGTCTGGCATACATGTGGTATGTTTACAGAGAACTCTAAAATCATTCTGGATTCAAGCAACTTATTTCTTATTTTGTTGTTACCATTTTAAAATATTAACAGATTTATTTAGAACAAAAGTATATATTGATATTTTTCACTATTGTCTTTTTAAATGCAGAAACTCAGGAGTGGGGGAGGACTAGTCTAAAAATGCTGCATATTTTTGTGATGTAGGAATTTACAGGGAAGTTCAGCACCTATGCTTCCATTTCATCTTTGACGGTTATTTAAAACCACATACGGGAGATCAGTTTTGTGTAGACTTTCATTTATTTTCCCCAGTACGTACATGATTACTTAAAGCAACAAAATTCAGATGTGGAAATTGGTATTGTAAACACTGTGCTAAGCAACATCTGTCGAATCAAGATGGTTGATTTGGCCTTGAGTGTCCTTTAAAATGAAGTTTCTCCATCTGGGGTGCATTATTTCTGAAAGCCAGGTTTTCTATGAAGTAATTTATGGTGTCCAGAGCACCCTGGATAAATGTAACTGTTTTGTCTTTATCTAGAGACTATTTTCAAGTCCAGGGACATATTATATTTTTATAGAAAACAAAGTGTCAACATATCAAGGTGTCATCTGTAAGAATGCCATGTACTACATGACTTATTATCAGTATGGACCTAAGCTCTACCTGATAGATATTCTGCAAAACAAAGTCAAATAAATTCAGGATATATAAAGGAACAAATTTCCACATAAAATGAAATATCCTTTTAGTTAAAGCAAAGCACAAAGTCCTGCAAGTTCTGAAAGGAACCTCTAGTGGGTAAGGATAGTTCAAGAGGATCAAGCGATAGTAATTTGCTACAATGAGGATTTCTATTCTTCTTGAAGTCCACTTACATGATGTTTACTGCTACCAGCATGCCTGTCCTCCCACAGGTCCTTGTTGCCCTTTGAAGATGATAACCTTAGTATAGATAAAGCCAAGAACCCTCAGCGGAAGTGATACTGGGGTTTTCAAAAGAAATATTGCTGAAGTCAGGCAAAATCCTCAAAGGAAATAAATAAAGGAAAATATAAAGAGTGTAAAACAGTGAAGTTTACAAAGTATAGATCTCTTATTTTAAGATAACCTAAGCCTAGAGCCTGAAACGTGGTAAGCATTTAAGTCTCTAATCCGTCTTGAGTCAATTTTTGTATGTGGTATAAGCAAGGGGTCCAGTTTCAATCATCTGCATATGGCTAGCCAGTTATCCCAGCAGCATTTATTGAATAGGGAATCCTTTCCCCATTCCTTGTTTTTGTCAAGTTTGTCAAAGGTCAGATAGCTATAGGTGTGTGGTCTTATTTCTGAGTTCTCCATTCTGTTCCATTGGCCAATGTGTCTGTTCTTGTACCAGTACCATGCTGTTTTGGTTACTGCAGCCCTGTAGAATAGTTTAAAGTTGGTCAGCATGATGCCTGCAGCTTTGTTCTTTTTGCTTAAGATTGCCTTGGCTAGTCAGGGTCTTTTCTTGTTCCATATGATTTTGAAAATATAGTTTTTTTTCTAATTCTGTGAAAAATGTCGTTGGTAGTTTGATAGGAATAGCATTGAATCTGTAAATTCTTTTTGGCAGTAGGGTCATTTTAATTATATTTATTCTTCCTATCCATGAGCACAGAATGATTTTTCATTTGTTTGTGTCATCTCTGCTTTCTTTCAGCATTGTTTTTAAATTCTCTCTGTAGAGAAAATTTACCTACCTGGTTAGTTGTATTCCTAAATATTTTATTATTTTAGTGACAACTGTGAATGGGATTGCCTTCCTGACTTGGCTCTCAGCTTGGCTGTAGTTGGTATATGGAATCATTGTGATTTTTGTACATTGATTTTGTATCCTGAAATTTTGCTGAAGTGTTTTTTTTTTTTTTTAATCACCTGAAGGAGCTTTTGGATAAAGACTATGGGGTTTTCTAGATATAGAATCATGTCGTCTGCAAAATAGGTATAGTTGGACTTCCTCTCTTTCTATTTGGACACCCTTTATTTATTTTTTTTTCCTGATTGCCCTAGCCAGGACTTCCAATACTACGTTGAATAGAACTGGTGAGAGGGCATCCTTTTCTTGTGCCAGTTTTCAAGTGGAATGCTTCCAGCTTTTGTCTATTCAGTATGATATTGGCTGTGGGTTTTTCACAGATGGTTCTTATTATGTTGAGGTATGTTCCTTCAATACCTAGGTTGTTCAGAGTTTTTAACATTAAGGGATGTTGAATTTTATTGAAAGTTTTTTTTTGCATCTATTGAAGTGATTATGATGTTTATGTCTTTAATTCTGTTTGCGTGATGAATCACGCTTATTGATTTGCATATGTTGAACCAAACTTGCATCCCGGGGATAAAGCTTTCTTGATCCTGGTGGATTAGCATTTTAATGTGCTGCTGAATTCAGTGTGCTAGCATTTTGTTGAGCAATTTTTCATCAATGTTCATCAAGGATATTGGCCTGAAGTTTTGTTGTTGTTGTGTCTCTGCCAGATTTTGGTATCAGGATGATGCTGGCTTCATAAAATTAGTTGAGGAGGAGCCTTCCTCTTCAATTTTTTGGAATAGTTTCAGAAGAAATGGTACCAGCTCTTCTTTTTATATCTGGTAGAATTTGGCTGAGAATTCATCCAGTCCCGGGCATATTTTGGTTGGTAGGCTATCGATATGGATTGGATCTGTGTTCCCCTCAAATCTCATGTCGAATTGTAATCCCCAATGTTAAAGATGGGGTCTGCTGGGGTGAAGGTGATTGAATTATGATTAGTGGATTACTCATGAATGGTTTAGTATTCCCCTTGGTACTGTCCTTTAAATAGTCCATTCTCATGAGATCTGGTTGTTTAAAAGTGTGTAGCACCTCCCCCTTCTGTCTCTTGATCCAGCTTTTGCCATGTGATGCGAAAACTCTCATTTCACCTTCCACCATAATTTTCAGCTTCCAGAGATCTCCCCAGAAGCAGATGCCAATGTTACACTTCCTGTACAGCCTGCAGACCAGTGAGCCAATTAAACCTCTTTTTCTTTATAAATGATCCTGTCTCAGGTATTTCTTTATATCAATGAAAGAATGAACTAATACAGCTATTTATTACTGATTCGATTTTGAACCTCATTATTGGTGTGTTCAGGGATTCAGTTTCTCCCTGGTTCAGTCTTGGGAGGGTGTATGTGTCCAGGAATTTGTCTTTTTTTCATATTTTTTAGTTTGTGTGCACATAGGTGTTCACAGTAGTCTCTGATTGTTATTTTTATTTCTGTGGGATCAATACTAATATCCCCTTGGTTGTTTCTACTTGTGTTTACTTGGATTTTCTCTCTCTTCTTCTTTATTAGTCTTGCTGGCAGTCTATCCATCTTATTCTTTCTTTCAATAAATCAGCTCCTGGATTCACTGATCTTTTGAATGATTTTTTTTGTGTCTCAATCTTTTTCAGTTCAGCTCTGATTTTGGTTATTTCTTGTCTTCTGCTAGCTTTGGAATTGGTTTGTTCTTGCTTCTCTAGTTCTTTTAGTTGTGATGTTATGTTGTTAATTTGAGGTCTTTCTAACATTTTGATATGTCATTTAGTGCTATACATTTCCCTTTCAACACTGCCTTATCTTTGTCCCAGATATTCTGGTATGTTGTATACTTGTTCTCATTAGTTTCAAAGAACTTCTTGCTTTCTGCCTTAATTTCATTATTTATCCCAAATCACTCATAAGTAGATTGTTTAATTTCCATGTAATTAATTGTATGGTTTTGAGCAATTTTCTTAGTCTTGAATTCTATTTTCATTGCAGTTGGTCTGAGGGAGTGTTTGGTATGATTTTGATTCTTCTGCATTTGCTGAGAATTCTTTTATGTCCAACTGTGGGGTCTATTTTAGGGTATGTGCCATGTACTGAGGAGTAGAGTGTATATTCTGTTGGCTTTTGGGTGGAGAGTTCTGTAGATGTCCAGCAGATCCATTTAGTCCAGTGTTGACTTCAGGCCCGGAATAATTTTTTTTTTTTTGGCAGTGTCACTCTGTTGCCCAGGAGTGCAGAGTGCAGTGGTGCAGTCTCAGCTTACTGCAACCTCTGCCTCCCGGATTTAAGTAATTCTCCTGGACCAAGGAGCCAGATAATTCCCAGGACACAGAGAATTCCCAATATGCATTCTTTAACCAACATGTCTCCACTGTCCCTCCATCTTCTCCCCAGCATCTGTTAACCACTGTTCTACTCTCTACTTCCATGAGGTAAACTTTTTAAGATTCCATAAGAGTGAGATCATACGTTATCTTTCCTTTTGTGCTGGGCTTACTTCACCTGACATAATGACTACTAGGAGTTCATCCATATTGTCCCAAATGAGATAATTTTATTTTTTTAGGACTCTGTATAGTATTCCATTGTGTGTGTGTATAATGTATATATCTATATGATATATAAATATATGCGATATATATATATATATATTGTGTGTATATATATATGTATAACATTTTCTTTAAGCATTCATGTGTTGATGGACACTTAGGTGGATTCCATTTATTGGCTATTGTGAAGAGTACTGCAATGAACATGAGAGTGCAGATAGCTCTGCAATGTGCTGATTCCATGTCTTTTGGATATACACCCAGAAGTGAGGCTGCTGTACTATACAGTAATTCTATTTTCAGTATTTTGAGGACACTCCATACAGTTTTCTATAATGGCTTTACTAATATACGTTCCTACCAACAGGGTATTAAAGTTCCCTTTTCTCCATATCTTTGCCAGCAATTATTTTTTCATTCTTCATGATAATATTTATTCTAACTGGGATGATATGATATCACACTGTGGTTTTGACTTGCATTTTACTGATTATTAGATACACTTCACGTTTTTTTCATATACCCATTGGCAATTTCTGTTTCTTCTTTTGATAAATGCCTATTCAGATATTTTTACCATTTTTAATCAGTGTATTAGTCCTTTCTCACATTGCTATAAATAAATAACTGAGACTGGGTAATTTACAAAGAAATGAGGTTTAATTGGGTCACAATTTCACAGGCTGTACAGAAAGCATGATGGCTTCTGGGGAGGCCTCAGGAAACTTTCAATAATGGTGGAAGGTTAAGAGGAAGCAAGCATGTCTTACATGGCTGGAGCAGGAAGAAGAGATGACCTACATGCTTTTAAATAACGAGACCTTGTATATTAGTCAATTCTCACACTGCTATAGAAAATACATGAGACTGGGTAATTTATAAAAAAAGAAGTTTAATTGACTCACCTAACATAATGACTACTAGGAATTCATCCATATTGTACCAAATGAGAGAATTTTTTTTAGGACTCTGTCTAGTATTCTCCTGTGTGTGTGTGTATTTTATATATATATATATATATATATATATATATATATATATATATATCATATATATATCATATATAAATATATATGCTATATATAATGCATATATCTAGTAAAACTAGATATCTGGATATCTAGCTTTCTCAGCAACACTTCTTGAAGAGACTATCTTTTGCCCAGTGTGTGTTCTTGGCTCCTTTGTGAAAAACCAGTTGGCTGTAAATGTGTGAATTTATTTCTGGGTTCTCCATTCTGTTTCATTTGTCTATGTATCTGTTTTTATGACAATACTATGCTGTTTTAATTACTATTGCTTTGTAATGTATTTTGAAGATAAGTAGTATGATGCCTCTAATTTTTCAAGTACTCTGCTTGAAGCAGTCAAAGGTAGTTTGGAATTAGAATTGATATAAAGGCACAAGGGCTGAGAAATTTCTTAGCCCTCCCTTTGAGTTTTAGCCAGGGAGGTACAATCCTGGATATTACCCTAGAAGGAGCAGAGAGTAAAACTCTGTTCCTGTAATTCACTATGGAAAAAAAATGCTTCACAGATCTCTCTGGAGCAGGTCTTCTGACATCACAGGGATCAGAAAGTATCACAAAGAAGATGAGTCTTTGTATTGTCTCCATTAGTCTGGGACCCTAGGAGGTTACAATTTATGTAGATGTTTGTGTGTGTTTGTGATTGTGTGTGTGTTTGTGAAGAAGGCCCAGGGAGCAGAGGATGGTCTAGCATCAAGGCCCACTACCACTAGAGCAACATAAGCCTATACACAACTGAGATAGAGATAGATTTTACATATAAATTCACCATGCAATATTCATATGACAGATTTTAGAAATGCAATGTCCCGATCCTTAACAAATAATGATCTACTATTTTAGAGCCGAAAAGCATAATCATATTTATACCAATAAATACGAAATACTAAATTTCAGAGTTAAATATTCAACTGCCATTTAGTGTGTGAGGAAAGCTTTCATCAATGTGTGACATATATCAAAAACTGTGGTAAGGTTTTTCTTTTTTCTTATATTTTTATTCTCTTTTTATGATATTGCAGTTTGCAGATAAAGCTATTTTCAAATAATCAGGAAGTTTAAACACAAAGGCCCAACTGTACTATTTCATGAGGAATCCGAAGCAAAGATTCTATTTTTGGAAAAGAGAGCCAGCAAGAAGGATCAAGTACATCTGTGATTACAATTGCTTTATATTGCTAGAGTGATTAGAATATCTGTTTGAAGAATAGAAAATGCCATGATGTCAGTTTAAACAAAGAAAAAAAATGACAAATAATGATTTCTTGCGTCCTGAAAGTACAAATCCCTCAAGCTGAAATTCCATAGCTAATTCTTTATTTGGAGGGTTTTATATTCTGAAGGAACAGTTACCAAGTATCAATGCTGCCCAAGAGAGGAAAGAGTAATGATTGGGGCACTCTCTAGAATGAGGTCCCTGTTCTTAGATCCACCAGTACCCAGTTGTGCAATCTTAAATTACTTAACCTTTCTGAACATCAGTTTTTCCATCTATAAAATAGCAACAATAATATCTCACTTCTAAGTGTTGTTATGAGAGTCAAATAAAATTATGGATGTAAAATGATTTATTAGTCTTAAATTTGCACAACAATGGAATTTGTTAACACCTTCGTGCAGTGAATAAAGTCTGGGTAAAGAAGGGCTTTGGATATAATTATATAGTAATTATTTCCTGGTTTCTTACTCTTTGTCAGATCCTGAATTCTATAAGCATGTCCCCCACACTAAACTATGGAAAAAACCAATGAAGAGATGAAAATAATGAAAGAAAATGAGAGATAGGACAAGAGACAGCCAAAATTTGATTTGCAGGTAATTGGCTACCCAAAGGAAGAAACCAAAATTAAGCCGAAAGAATAACTAAAGGCATAATAGAAGAGAATAACTAACTAAAGGCATAATAGAAGAGAATAACTAACTAAAGGCATAATAGAAGAGAATAACTAACTAAAGGCATAATAGAAGAGAATAACTAACTAAAGGCATAATAGAAGAGAATAACTAACTAAAGGCATAATAGAAGAGAATAACTAACTAAAGGCATAATAGAAGAGAATAACTAACTAAAGGCATAATAGAAGAGAATAACTAACTAAAGGCATAATAGAAGAGAATAACTAACTAAAGGCATAATAGAAGAAACTTTTTATGAGCTGAATAAAGGGGTCTGCTGATGAAAAAAGTTAATTGTATTTCAGTTAAAGTTAATGAAAAGAGAAAAATATGTAGACAAATCCTAGTGATATTTTTGAATTACATGTACAAAAAAAATTGTACATACAGCTCAGCAGAAAAATCAGGCAACTCACAAAGGAACAAAAATCCCAATCTGATACCAGAACTTTTCTCTGCAATATTGAGCACTGGAAGAAAATGAAGCAGTGTCTACAGAGTTCTGAGGAAAGTAAAGGTTGTGACCTAAGTCACCTTTACCAATTTGAGATATCATTCATATATAAAAGTTTCATTTCACCATGAAGAAGTAACAGCCATGAACTTTTATGCTCTGAATAACAGAAGTAGGAAAAAATTGTTAAAAGTATTACATGATCTAATGATCTACCTGGAATATACACCAGAAAAAAATGGAAGCATAATAAAATAAAATTATATGGGAGTTCTAGAGCTTTTCTAGTTTAAAATATCAGTGCAACAGACAATAATTATTTTAAAAATTAAATATAAATGTTACTAATTATATAGAGAATTAAATCCACAATAGAAATAGAAGACATGAAACATCTAGAAATGATCTTAAAATAATTAATTGAACCTAAATAAAGGGAACTAAAAAAGATAGATGAAAGATTATTTAGAAAATATTGTAATAACTGAAGATCCATCAAGATTTGTAATGATCTCTTAAGAATATTATATATTATATATATATTCATTTTTGTAAAATTAGTTTATAGTTTTAAACAATATCTATGAAGTTCCAAGCTTTCCCTCATTTTCCTGTCTTCTTCTGAGCCCTCCAAGTTCAAATAAAAATATCATAGGAAAAAATTGAATTAAAATTATATTCTAATATTCTTCTGTAAAAACAAACTTTTGATACTTGTAATAGCTAGGAACATGTTGAAGAAGTGAGAAAAGGACATTGCAGAGAGATTTGCTCAACCAGATATTAAAATGACTGTCAGTCACAGTCATTAAGAATTTGGTACTGACGCAAGAATCAATAGAAAGATAAATTGCATGAACTATATTGCTCTGAAAGGGACTTTATTATAAAAACAAAATCAGCAAATTAAAAGTGAATCACCACAAAACAATGGAAACAAAATATTCCTTAAATGATGTCAATCAAAGAAGATAACTATTTGAAAATCTCTTAAGTATATCCTGACCTCAAATCAAATACTAAGGTAAATTTCAAATGTATTAAAGAGCTGAATGTAAAATATAGAAGGCATGAACACTCTAAAGAACACGTAAGTGGAATTTTAACAACATAATGTGCAAGGATATGAATATAATATGATTACAGAGGTATAACATTAATTGAGGAGTCTAAAGGACAGAACCCTTTTGCATTGGTACTTTTATTGTTCCGTTCTCATGCTGCTATAAAAAGCTGCCCAAGGCTTCATACATTTTATAGAAAAGAGGTTTAATTGACACAATTCCACAGGGATGGGGAGGCCTGAGGAAACTTTCAATCATAGCAAAAGAGAAAGCAAACATGTCCTTCTTCACAGGACAGCAGGAAGGAGAAGAATGAGAACCAAGCAAAGGGGGGAAAGCCCCTTACAAAACCATCAGATTTTGGTTGTGAGAACTTACTATCATGAGAATAGCATGGGGGAAACTGACCCCATGATTCAATTACCTCCCATCGGTCCCTCCTACCACACGTGGGGATTATGGGGATTACAATTCAAGGTGAGATTTGGGTGGGAACAGAGCCAAACCATATCAGGCTGAATACTTAAGTTCCCCCAGATTTCCTATATTGACAACCCACCTCTAATTGGGATATTATTAAGAGACAGGACCTTTGTGAAGTGATTAGGATTAGATGAGGTCATAAGGGTGAAGGCCTCATAAATAGGATTAGTGACCTCATAATAGTCAAGAGAGTATATTTCCTTGGTCTACTCTCTGCCAGGTGAACATTAAACAAGAAGTCAGTCAGTGTGCAACTCAGAAGATAAGAGAATCCTCATCAGAAATAAACAATGCTGGCATCCTGATTCCCAACTTGCAGACTTCAGAACTGTGAGAAATAAATTTCCATTGTTTATAAGCCACCCAGTTTATGGCATTTTGTTATAGCAGCCCAAACTGACTAAGATAGTTCTCTATCCCCATTATTTCCTCTAGTCAAAATAATGGACATCTAGTCACCGGATTGTAAAGTGACTTACCCGTTCATTTCATTTCCAGAAAATTGTGTTTGATTAATTTTTTTTTAGTTTTCAAATATACCTGATAGGTGTAATCTCTGCTGATATGTAAATTTAGGTAATATCATATTTTAAAGGTATAATGACAAATTATTGGTGGTGGTATAAAAACTTAAAATTTCCAACGATTAAACAAAGTTAGTGGTGGCTAAATAAAAACAGGACTCTTCCATTTTGCTATTACAATAGGAGTGGAGAGCTGCTGGAAGAAGATTGGATAATATAGTATTGAAATATTTCAACTTTAAACAATTAAAAACTATATTTGTGAAAGTGTCCTTCTCTTAAATCTGGCAAAATTTCTATGGCATGAGGTGTGTCACAGATAAATAAAATCTCTTTTAAAACATCTCCTAATCAAATTGTATCTTTGGATTGTGTTCTTTTGTATCACATCAAATGTTTTGTTTTGGTCCTAGGACTCTCAAAACGTAATCAAAACATTCAAGGGAAGAAAAATCTCTAAATATAAAAGCAATAGGAAAACTCACCTCAAGAAGAACATTGTTTCTATGTTGTTTCTTTGTACGTTAAATTTATTATCTATGCTCCTTATGCTTTCATTACAATGTATTTAGGGACAATTATTTTTGAAGTGAACTTGACACTGTGGAATTTCTTAAGTTCTCATTTTTGAAATATTCCTTTGAATACTGCCATAATATTTATTTAATATAATCTCTCAGAATACTTAATCTCCTCAAATATCTCCTCTTTGACATTTTATTCTCTCCTCTTTAAGTTCTATGGTAGAGCTCCTCATTCTCTTCTTCCTGTAGCAGAATGTTCTGGTTATATTTTATTTATTTATTTATTTATTTTTTTGAGATGGAGTCTCACTCTGTCGCCAGGCCAGAGTGCAGTGGTGTGATCTTGGCTCACTGCAACCTCTGCCTCCCGGATTCAAGCGATTCTTCTGCCTCAGCCTCCCAAGTAGCTGGGACTACAGGCGTGTGCCACCACACCCAGCTAATTTTTATATTTTTAGTAGAGACGGGGTTTCACCATGTTGGCCAGGATGGTCTTGATCTCTCAATCTCGTGATCCACCTGCCTCAGCCTCCCAAAGTGCTGGGATTGCAGGCATGAGCCATTGCACCCAGCCTACTTTAATTTTTTTTCTTATTTTTTGATCAAAGAAAATGTTGATTTTCTCTTCTAGTCCATTAATTATTTGTTTAGTTATGCCAAGAGTAATATTTAACTCACATATTTTGTTTCATGTTAACTATTTTTTTATCTCTATGATTATTGTTTATATCAGTTCATATCATACTCAATTATTGTTCATATTAGTTTGTATATGCTTCTTAGCTTCCTGTTCAACGGACAAAATATTTGTCACTTCTTTTTTTATCTCTAAAATGTATAAACATATGTACAGACATCTTTAAATTGCTCTATTGGCTCTAATTTCTCAAGTACAGTTTATCTGTAAGCTCTTTTACATGGAGTTGTACTTCCATTTATTTCTTTGTTTGCTTATTTAGGAATTTTTATCCTACAGCTCATCTTCCCTGAAAGTTATATTTTTCTTCTATTTTCTCTCATGAATGGCTTGAGCTGTGGAAACAACCCTAGGAGACAGTGTTATAAACTACTTTTTATGTTTGTTTCCAGGCTCAGGATTTTTACATTGAGTCGAGATTGCACACCTGAGCCCAGCTAACTCTGCTGCATAGTGTTTTTCATGCTTTAGGTTTCTTGCAGAAAGTTAATGTTGGGTATTTTGTCCAAGTCTTTATTCCGTCTGGTTCCCTTTTGGGTCTCAATGCATCAACTCTGGTTCAAATTCAAGTCTCAAGACAGTCAAATTACTACCCATCTCCCCATCTTTCTATTATTCTCTCTTACTGCTTTCAGATCCTTACTTTCATTTCACTTAATCAATTTATCCACACGTTCTTTGTTTTTATTTGTGTCATTTGGAATTTGTCTTTTACAACTAGACTGAAAGTCTTATAAAGGGAGGGTCCACACCTATTTCCTTCATTGCTATCTAAATCCTGACAGGTAAAGCTGCTATATTGCCTCAATAAAACAAGGGGCCCAGAGCTTGAATTATCTTGGAAAGTAAAATGCAAATAGTGGTTATCTCTTGAAGTAAATACATAATTTTAATTTTCTTCTTTACATTTACAGTTTCTAAATTTTCCCCAATGACAAAAAAAAGAACAAAACAAAACAGAAAATATATAAATTGGTATTTGATTACACAGCTTATAAACATTATTAATTTTGGCATAATTTAACAAAACCAATGACAAATCTGTAGACCTGCTGATAAAGACATACCTAAGACTTGGAAGAAACAGGTTTAATGGACTCACAGTTCCACACGGCTGGGGAGGCCTCACAATCATGAAGGAAGGTGAAAAGTTCTTTCATGGTGGTGGCAAGAGAGGATGAGAGAGAAGCCAAAGCGGAAACCCCTTATAAAATCATCAGATCTCATGAGACTTACCCACTACCACAGTGGTATGGGGGAAACTGACCCCAAGAATCAATTATGTCTCACCAAGTCCCTCCCACAACATGTGGGAATTATGGGAATTAGAATTCAAGATAAGAGTTAGGTGCGGACACAGAGCCAAATCATATCATTCCGCCCTTGGTCCTTTGCCAAATCTCATGTCCTCACATTTCAAAAACAATAATGCCTTCCCAACAGTCCTCCAAAGTCTTAACTCATTTCATCATTAACTCAAAAATCCACAGACCAAAGTCTTATCTGAGACAGGGCAAGCCCCTTCTGCCTACAAGCCTGTAAAATTAAAAAGCAAGTTAGTTACTTCCTCGAGACAATGGAGGTACAAGTATTGGGTAAATACAACTATTCCCAATGGGAGAAATTGGCCAGAATAAAGGAGCTAAAGGCCCCATACAAGTCCAAAATCCAGCGAGGCAGTCAAATCTTAAAGCTCCAAAATGATCTCCTTTGACTCCATGCCTCACATCCAGGTCACACTGATGGAAGAGGTGGGTTCCCACAGCCTTGGGCAGCTCCGCCCCTGTTGCTTTGCAGGTTATAGCCCGGATCCTGGCTGCATTTACAGGCTGGTGTTGAGTGTCTACTGATTTTTCAGGTGCGACCATTCTGGGGTCTGGAGGACAGTGCTCCTCTTCTCACAGGCCCACTAGGTGGTTCCCCAGTGGGCCCTCTGTGTGGGGGCTCCAACCCCACATTTGCCTTCTGCACTGGCTTAGCAGATGTTCTCCATGAGGGCCCTGCCCTTGCAGCAAACTTCTGCCTGGGCATCCAGGTGTTTCCAGATATCCTCTGAAATCTAGGCAGAAGTTCCCAAACCTCAATTCTTGACTTCCGTGCACCCACAGGCTCAACACCACGTGTAAGATGCCAAGGCTTGGGGCTTGCACCCTCTGAAGCAACAACCCGAGCTGTACCTTGGCCCCTTTTAGCCATGATGGGAGTGGCTGAGACACAGGGCACCAAGTCCCTAGGTTGCACATAGCGGGCAGGCCCTGCATCTGGCCCAGGAAACCATGTTTTCCTCCTAGGCCTCTGGGCCTGTGATGAGAGGGGCAACTGCAAAGGTCTCTGGCATGTCCTGGAGACATTTTCCCCATGATCTTGGAAATTAACATTCGGCTCCTTGTTACTTATGCAAATTTCTGCAGCCAGCTTGAATTTCTGCTCAGAAAATGGGTTTTTCTTTTCTGTCACATTGTCAAGCCGCACACTTTCCGAACTTTTATGCTGATTTCCTTTTAAAGTGGAATGCTTTTAACAGCACCCAAGTTACCTTTTGAATGTTTCGCTGCTTAGA
The DNA here is from genome assembly GCF_000001405.40 of Homo sapiens. Classification (NCBI taxonomy): domain Eukaryota; kingdom Metazoa; phylum Chordata; class Mammalia; order Primates; family Hominidae; genus Homo; species Homo sapiens. The sequence continues at coordinate 146,400,166 of NC_000023.11, read as the reverse complement.
AATTTCTTCTGCCAGACACCCTAAACCATCTCCCTCAAGTTCAGAGTTCCACCAATCGTTAGGGAAGGGCCAAAATGCTGCCAGTCTCCTTGCTAAAACACAGCAAGGGTCACCTTTACTCCAGTTCCCACCAAGTTCCTCACCGCCATCTGAGACCACCTCAGCCTGCTTTTTATTGCACATACCGTTATCGGCATTGTGGTCAAAGCCATTTAACAAGTCTCTAGGAAGTTCCAAACTTTGCCACATCTTCCTTTCTTCTGAGTCCTCCAAATCTCTAGGAAGTTTCTATCTTTCCCACATTTTCCTATCTTATTCTAAGTCCTCCAAACTGTTCCAATCTCTGCCTGTTACCCGGTTCCAAAGTCGCTTCCACATTTTTGGGTATCCTGATAGCAGCACCCCACTACCTAGGTAACAATTTACTGTATAAGTCCATTTTTATACTGCTATGAAGAAATACCCAAGACTGGGTGATTTATTTAAAAAAAAAGTTTAATTGACTCACAGTTCCACATGGCTGGGGAGGCCCCAAGAAATTTATAATCATGGCAGAAAGCAAAGGAGAAAAAGGCACCTTTTTCACAGGGTGGCCGGATGAAGGGAGTGCAAGCAGGGGAAATGTCAGATACCTATAAAACCATCCGATCTTGTGAGAACTCACTTACTGTCATGAGAACAGCATGAAGGAAACTGCCCTCATGATTCAACTATCTCCACCCGGTCCCACCCTTAACACATGGGGATTATGGGGATTTAATTCAAGGTGAGATTTGAGTGGGGACACAGAGCCAAACCATATCAACCCAAATAAATACAATTCAAAAATGTCTCACTGGCATATGATAGTGAAACTGCCATAAGTCACAGACAAAGGGATAATTCTAAAAACAGCAAAATAAAAGCATCTAGTCACATATAAACAAATCTCCATCAGATTAAGAATGGCTTTCTCAGTCAAAATTTTACTGGCCCAGAGATAATGGCATGAGATGTTAAGTGCTGAAAGAAAACAACTGTTATCCAGGAAAACTATATCCAGATCATTTTTTAAAAAATTTAAGTAAATTATTTGCCAAACAAGCAAAAACTGAGGAAATTCATAACCATTAGACTGGCACTACAAGAAATGCTTAATAAAGTCCTAACCTGGAAGAAAAAGGGCAAAATCTACTATCTTGAAAACATATTAAAGTGTAAAACTTACTCTTAAAGCAAACACACAAATGAGTAATAAAAAGTCTCAAATTTTACCGCTACAGAAAGCCACCATACCACAACACTAAACAATAATAGGTTTTAAAAAAGAACAAAGAATACTCAGAACATCCAGGTAAAAATTGCACCATCAGAAAGAAAACCTCATATATCAATAATAACTTTGAATGAAAATAAATTTGTCACTTCAATTATACAAATGGACTGAATGGATTCTAAAAACAAGACCTAACTGTATGCTGCTGAAAAGAAACACGTCACCACTAAAGACACATATAGACTGAAAGTAGAGAGACGGAAGAAAATATTCCAAGTAAAGAGAAACCAAAAGCAAGCAGGTGTTTCTATTCTCATATAAGATAAAACAAACTTTAAATCAAAAACAATAACTAGAAAAAAAGAACATCATTATATACCATGGAACACTATGAAGCCACAAAAAGAATAAGACCGTGGCCTCTGTAGAAACACGGGTGGAGCTGGAGGCCATTAGGTTTGAAAAATTAATTCAGGAACAGAAAACCCAATACCCCACATTCTCACTTATAAGTAGATGCAATTCATTGAGTACGCATGGGCTCAAATGAGGGAATAACAGACACTGGGGTCTATTTGAAGATGGAGGGTGGGACCACACTAATTACCTGGGTGGCAACATTATTTGTACACCAAACCCCCATGAGACACAACTTACCTATGTAACAATTCTGCACATGTATCCCTGGAACCTAAAATAAAAGAAAGAAAATAAATAAATTTAGCAAAAAGATACAACAATTCTAAATATATATATATATAAATATATATATTTATATATATAAAAATATAAAAATGCAAATATATATCAATTTATATATTATATATAAATTTATATATATATCAATTTATATATAATATATAAATTTTATATATATATCAGTTTATATATAATATATAAATTGATATATATATATCTACCCAACACTGGAACACACAGATGTAGAAATCCAATATTACTAGATCTAAATAAAGAGATAAGACTCAATGACAATAATAGTGGATAAATTTAACACATAACTCTCAGCATTAGACAGATCATCTAGACAGAAAATTAACAAAGAAACATTGAGTTTAAACTACACTTTAGACCAAATTGACTTAACAGATATTTACAGAACATTATATCCAACAGCTACAGAATACACATTCGTTCTATGAGCACATGAAACATTCTCCAGAATAGAACATATTTTAAGTCACAAAACAAGTCTCAATCAATTTTTTGAAGTTGCAATTATATTAAGTATCTTCACAGAACTTCAGAAATTATACAAATACCTAAGAATTAAACAACATGCACCTGAATAACTATTGGGTCAACAAAGAAATTGAGATTAAAATCAAAAATATGTTTGATATAAATAAAAGTGAAAACACAATATAACTAAACCTATGGGATACAGCAAAAAGCAGTGCTAAGAGGGAAGTTTATAGAAATAAGTGCCTACATGAAAAGTAAAAAAATTCAAATAAACAATTTAAAGATGCATTTCAAGGAAGTTTCAATGTAAGAACATATCAATCTAAAATCATTAGAAGGAGAGAAATAATAAAGATCAGAGGAGAGCTAAACAAAATAGAGACTAAAAAGGCAATACAAAAAATCAACAAAATGAAAAGCTGTTTTTTTAAATCCATAAAACTGATAAAACATTAGCTAGAGTAACCAAGAAAAAATATCCAAGTAAACAAAATTAGAATTGTTCTTTCTAACTCATTCTATGAGTCCAGCATTCTCTGCTATCAAAACAAGACAATAATACCACACACACACACACACACACACACACACAATAAAAAATAAAAAAAATAAAAAACACTACAGGTCAATATCCCTGAAGAATATAGATGCAAAAATTCACAACAATATACGAGAAAACCAAATCCAGCCGTACATCAAAAGATAATACACCATGATCAAATGGGATATATTTCAGGGAGGCAAGGATGATTTAACATACACAAATAAATAAAAGTGATGCATCACATCAACAGAATATAGGACAAAAACCATATGATCATCTTAACAGGAGCAGAAAATGCACTGAATAAAATTCAACATTTCTTCATGATAAGAACTCTCCACAGGGAGCAAGATGGTGAAACAGAAGGCTCCACTGATCATCTGCCCTGCAAGGACACCAATTTAATAAATATCTACACAAGAAAAGCACCTTTATGAGTTCAAAATGAGGTGAGCACTCACAGTAACTTGTTTTAATTGTATACCACTGAAAGAGGCACTGAAGAGGTAGGACAGTGTTGAATCACTGGCGCCACCTCTCCTCCAATCCCTATAGTGGTGGCATGGTGTGGAGAGTGTTTCTGCACGCTGGCTGAGGGAAAGCACTGCAATTGTGAGACACTGAACTCTGTGCTGTCTGTTATAACAGAAAGGAAATTCGGAACAAACTCAGCTGACACCCTTGCAGAGAGCATTGAAACCAGCCCAAATCAGAAAAGAATGACTGATCTCAGTGGTCAGAAACTGAGTTCCTACATGCCTTGTCAGCACAGGATAAAGTGCTCTGGGGCCCTACTAAACTTGAAAAGCAGTCTAGGCAGCAAGGACTGCAATTTTGATGTAAGACCTATTGTGGAAATGGGCCCAGAGACAGTAGGCCAGGTGGGCATGCCATCTACAGAGACACCAGCTTGGGTGGCTACAGGAGTGCTGGCATCACCCTTCCCCCAAACCCAGGTTGCACAGCTCATGTCTACAATAGAGACAGCTTCCTTCCACTTTAAGAAAGAAGAGGAAAGAGTGGGGAAGACTTTGTCTTGTATCTTGGATACCAGCTCAGCCACAGCAGGACAGGGTACTGCTCAGTGTTCCAAAGCCTGCTTTTAAGGCCCTGACTCCTGGATGACATTTCTAGGCAGCCTCTGGGCCAGAAGGGAACCTGCTGCCTTGAAGAGAAGAACCCACTTTTGGCAGGATTTGTCACCTGCTAACTGAAGGGCCTTTGGGCCCTGAATAACCAGATGTGATACAAATGTATTATGTAAAGGGCCATGGGTGAGGCACTGAGACCTGCTGGCTTCCAAAGAGACTCAGCACATGCACAGCTGTGGTGAATATGGGGTGAGACACCTTCTGATTGAGTTCAGCAAAGTAGAGCACCAAGTGGGCACCTGGGGTCTCCAATTCCAGAACTTGGGTCTTGGATGGCATTTCTGAACCTGTTGTGGGACAGAGGGGAGCTCACTGCCCTGAAGGATGAGTTCCATGTAAGGCAGCATTCACCACAAGTTGACTCAAGAGCCCTTGAGCCTTAACGGGACATTGGTAGTAGTCTGGCAGTACTATCCATAAACCTGTGCTGGTGTTGGCCATGGGGTGAGGCTCCACTGCTTTTGGAAAGTGGAGGAAAGAGTGGGAAGAATTGCATCTTGTGGTTTGAGTGCTAGCTCAGCTGCAGTACAAGAGAACACCGGGTAGACTTCTAAGGTTTTAAACTTTAGTCCCTGGCTCCTGGATAGCACTTCCCGACCCCACCAAAGACTGGGGTAGCTTGCCACTCTGACGGGAATGACATAAGCCTGGCTGGCTTTGCCACCTGCTCATTGTAGAGCTCCAAGGTCTTGAGCAAACATAGGTGGTAACCAGGGAGTGGTTACAGCAGGCATTGGGTGAGATATCGAGTGCTGTGCTGGCTTTAGGTCTGACCCAGCGTGGTTGTAGGAAGAGAAAATATTGGCCACGCTAACACCATTTTAAAATATGCCTCCGTCTATAAAAGGCAGGGGCACCTAAAGTGTAAAGGTAAACACCTTGTGTAAGATTTTGCTAAAAGCCTAGAACTTAACTCAAATCCTGGAACACATTCCTGGAAACTGCTCCTGGAACGATTGTTCAAGTCCCCCGAGTATGTCCCGCAACACTGCTCCCAAAACACCACTCCCGGAGCAATTGCTTAAATGTTGCTTGCTCGGGAAGGGCCCTCCCAAGGAAGCAACAGAGGGTGTCCAAGGTAAGAACTGGACTAATAAAAGGAGCTTACACGAAGGAGGAGCTGAAGGCTGCTGTGTTGTCGTATGCTGGGGCATGACCCAAGTCCGACTGCAGGATCCCGGGCGTCCGCCTTCTGACTCCGGTGATGACCCTCCTGTGGTCTGGTAAGCTTTGGTTACATTTTGTCTTCTCTTCTTTTAAGGCTGTTTTTGCTGTGACGTTTGCTTAAAACTTCGACTGCAGGCTCCCAGGCATCTTCCTTTCGACTCTGGTGATGACTCTTCCTGCAGTCTGATGAGAATCGGTTACATTTTGTCTTCTCTTGTTATAAGGTTGTTTTTGTTGTGATATTTGCTTATAGTAATAAAGTTTTAGTTTTCCTCTCCCTCCCACTTGAGTGTTTGAGTTGTCCTTCCTACACTGTCCTGAAACAGTAGTCATAGTGGTGGTGGCTACAAGGGCGCTTTGATCACTCTACCCCCAGCTTCAGGTGGCTCAAAACAGAGAGAGATTTCGTTTGTTTGAGAGACAGTAAAAGGGAATAGAAACAAAAAAAAAGTCTGTGCTTAGTAATCCAGCGAATTCTCCTGGATCTTGTTGAGAATCATGAAAGTGGTAGCTATATAAGTCTGCAAGAACCACAGTGTTACTGGGTTTGGGGTGCTCCCTAAAGAAGACACATCTTAGATCACAACAGCCAAGTCCTTTTGAATATGTGGAAAGCCTTTCCAAGAAGCATGAGTACAAAGAAGTACAGTCAGTGATGACTATGATACATGCCAAACTCTTTAATGCCCTGACATAGGTGACCATCTACAAGTATCAAGACATTCCAGAAGAAAATAACCTCAACCAATGAACTAACTAAGGTACCAGGGACCCACATTGGGGAAAAAGAAATACGTGATGTTTCAGAGCATTCAAAACATCCGTTTTGAGATAGCTCAAAAATAATATAACACAGAGAATGAACTCAGAATTCTATCAGATACATTTTTCAAAGAGATTGAAATAATTAAAAAAATGATCAAGCAGGTATTATGGATCAGAAAAACAAAATTGGCATAGTGAAGAATGCATCCAAGTCTTTTAATAGCAGAGTTGATCAAGCAGAAGAAAGAATTAGTGAGCCTGAAGACAGGCTATTTGAAAAGATACAGAGGAGATTAAAAAAGAATAAAAAACAACGAAGCATGCTTACAGGATTGAGAAAATAGCCTCAAAAGGGCAAATCAAAGAAAGAAAGAAAGAAAGAAAGAAAGAAAGAAAGAAAGAAAGAAAGAAAGAGAAAGAAAGAAAGAAAGAAGGAAAGAAAAAGAAAGAAAGAAAGAAAGAAAGAAAGAAAGAAAGAAAGAAAGAAAGAGAGAGAGAGAGAGAGAGGGAGGGAGGGAGGGGGAGGGAAAGAAAGAGAAAGAAAGAAAGAAAAGAAAGAAGAAAGAAAGAAAGAAAGGAAGGAAGGAATGGGGGGGAGGGAGGGAGGAAGGAAGGAAACTTCTCAAACCTAAACAAATATATCAATATTCAAGTAAAAGAAGGCTATAGAGTATCAAGTGGATTTAAACCAAAAAAGATTACCTCAAGTCATTTAATAATCAAACTACCAAAGATAAAGGAGAAAGAAAAGATTCTAAAAGCAGCAAGAAAAAAGAAATAAATAACATTCAATGGAGCTCCAATATGTCTAGCAGCAGATTTTTCAGTGGAAAACTCACAGGCCAGGAGAGATTGACATGACATATTTAAAATATTGAAGGAGTAAAACTTTTACCCTAGATTAGTTTATCTTCAGAAAAAATCCTTCAAATATGAAAGACAAATATAGACTTTCTCAGACAAACAAAAGCTGAGAGATTTCATCAACACCAGACCTGTCCTGTAAGAAATGTTAAAGGGAGAAATTCAATTAAAAAATAGGATGTTAATGAGTGGTCATAAGTAATCATCTGAAAGTACACAACTCACTGGTAAGTACACAGAAAAACACAGGATATAATAACACTGTAACTATGGTGTCTAGACTACTCTTATCCTAAGTGGAAAGATTAAACTATTCACCAATCTAAAATAATAACTATAACAACTTTTCAAGATATAGACAGTACAATCAGATATAAATAGAACACCAAAAAGTTAGAAAAGTGGAGGTATAAAGTTAAGGCATAGAGTTTTTATTGGTTTTCTTTTTGCTTGTGTTTTTTATTACGCAAACAGTGTTAAGTTGTTATTGGCTTAAAATAATGAGTTACATGAGTTATAAGATAGTATTTGCAAACCTCATGGTAACCTCTAACAAAAAAAAACATGCAACAGATACACAAAAAATAAAACAGAAAGAAATTATTATGTCACCAGAGAAAATCACTTTTATTAATGAAGACAGGAAGGAAAGAAAGAAGGAAGGAAGAGAAGATCACAAAACAACAAGAAAAAGAAATAAGAAAATGGCAGGAGTAAGTACTTACTTATCAATGATAACATTGAATGTAAATTACTAAACTTTCCAATCAAAAGAAACAGAGTGGCTGAATGGATTAAATAACAAGACCCTTTAATCTGTGTCCTACAAGAAATGCATTGTGCCTATAAAGACACATGTAGACAGAAAATGAAGAGATGGAAAAAGATATTCAATGTCAATGGAAACAAAAAAAGAGCAGGAGTCACCATACACATGTCAGAAAAAAATACATTTCAAGATGAAAACCATCAGAAAAGAAAAAGAAGGTCACTATATATATAAAGGGGTGCAATTTAGCAAGAGTATACAACAATTCTAAATATATATATGTGTGTGTGTATATATACACATATATGTGTATATATATACATATATATGCATGTATATATATACATGTATATGTGTATATGTATGTGTATATATATATACACATATATATGTATGTGTATATATATATACACATATATATGTATGTGTATATATATATATACACATACATATATATATATATATATATCACCAGATCATTCAGATATATAAAGCATATATTATTAGAGCTAAAGGGAGAGATAGGCTCCATTACAACAATAGCTGGAGATTTCAACACTCCACTTTCAACACTGGACAGACCTTGAAAATCAACAAAGAAACATAGGACTTAATCTGCACTACAGAACAAATAAACCTAATAGATATATATGAATCATTTTATCCTATTGTGGTAGGATACACACTCTTTTCCTCTGTTCAAGGATCATTCTCAAGGATAGACCATATGTTAGATCACAAAGAAGTCTTAACACATTCAAAAAAATTGAAATAATAATATCAGTATTTTCTCTACCCACAAAGGAGTAAAACTAGAAATCAATAACTAGAAATTTTGAAATCTATACAAATACATGTAAATTAAACAATATCCTCCTGAATGACCAGTGAATAAATGAAAAGGGAAATTTAAAAAATTCCTGAGACAAATGAAAATGAAAACACAACATTCTAAAACCTATGGGATACAATCAAAACAGTACTAAGAGGGAAGTTTATAGCTACAAGTACTTACATCAAAAAAGTGGAAAACCTTCAAATAAACAACTTATCCATAAAAGAATGAAAAAACAAAAGCAAACCAAACCCAACATTAGGAAAAGAAATACAAAGATCAGAGCAGAAATAAATGAATTTGAAATGACAAAACAGTACAAAAGGTCAAAGAATGAAAAGTTGTTTTATTGAAAAATTAAACAAAATTGACAAACTTTTAGTGACATTAACTAAGACATGAAAATAAATAAAATCAGATATGAAAAAGGAGAAATTACAGTTGATACTGCATAAATTCAAAGGATCATTACTGGCTACTATGAGCATCTATACACCAATAACTTGGAAAATCTAGAAAAAGTAGACAAATTCTTAGACTTATATAACTTACCAAGACTGAACCATGAAAAAATCCAAAACCTAAACTGATCAATACCAAGTAACAAGATCAAAACCATAATAAAAAAATCTCCCTTATAAGAAACTCTCAAGAACTGATTATTTTACTGCTGAATTCTACCAAACATTTAATAAGAACTAATAGCATTCCTACTCAATATATTCCAAAAAATAGAGAAGGGAATACTTCCAAACTCATTGTATGAGCCCAATATTACCTTGATACTGAAAGCAGACAAAGACACATCAAAAAAAGAAAACTACAGGCTAATATAACTGTTGAATATTGATGCAAAATCGTGAACCAAAATACAAGCAAACCAAATTCAACAATACATTAAAAATATCATTCATCAGAACCAAGTGGAATTTGTCTCTGGAATTCAAGGATGGTTCAATATATGCAAATCAATCAACATGACACATTGCAACAACAGAATAAAGATAAAATCTATATGATCACTTAAATTGATGCTGAAAAAGCATTTGATAAAATTCAACATCACTTCATGATAAAAACACTAAAAAACAGGGTATGGAAAGAACATATCTCAACATAATAAAAGCCATATATGACAGACACACAACCAGCACTATACTAAATGAGGAAAAACAGAAAGCTTTCTTCTAAGATCTGGAACACAACAAGGATGCCCCCTTTCACCACTGTTATTCAACATAGTTCTGGAAGTCTTAGAGAAATCAGATAAGAGAAAAATATAAAGGGTATCCAAATGGGAAAAAAGGAAGTCTAATTATCATTGTTAGCAGATGATATGATCTCATATTTGGATAAGCCTAAAGACCCGCAAAAAATATTCAAATTGATACACAAATTCTGTAAAATTGCAGGATAAAAAATCAACATAGAAATATTAGTAGCATTTCTATATGTCAACAGCGAACAATTCGAATAAGAAATCATAAAAGTAATCCCATTTACAATAGCCACACATAGAATTAAATGCCTAGGAATTAACTCAATCAAAGAAATGAAAGATTACTATAATAAAAAGTATAAAATGCTGACCAATGAAATTGAAGAGGACACAAAAAATGGAAAGATATTCCATGTTCATCAATTAGAAGAATCAATACCAAAATGTCTATACTACTCAAATCAATCTACAGATTCAATTCAATTCCTATCAAAATACCAATGACATTTTTCACAGAGATAGAAAAAACTATCCTAAAATGTATGTGGAACCATAAGAGACCCAGAATAACCGAAGTTATTGTAAGAAAAAAGAAAACTGGAGGAGTCACATTACCTGACTTGCAATTATACTGCAGAGCTGTAGTAACCAAAATGGTATGATACTGGTGTAACAACTTACGCATAGACAACTATAACAGAATAGTGAATGCAGAAACACATCCACACAGCTACAGCAAACTTACTTTTAACAAATGGGCCAAATACATACACTGGTAAAAAAAAAAAATAGTTTTTTCAGTCAATGGTTCTGGTAAAACTGAATATTCATATGGTGAAGAATGAACTAGACCTCTATCTCTCAACATATACAATAATCAAATCAAAATGAATTAAAGACTTATATCTAAGACCTAAGACTGTGAAACAACTACAGTAAAACTTTGGGGAAAATCTCCAGGACATTGATCTGGGCAAAAATTTCCTGAGTAGTATCCCACAAACACAGGTGTCCAAAGCAAAAGTAGCCAAATGGGATCATATCAAGTTGAAAAGTTTCTGCACAGCAAAGGAAAGAATTAACAAAATGAAGAGACAGCCCACAGAATGAAAGAAAATATTTGCAAACAACCCATCTGACAAGGGATCAATTATAAGAATATATAAGGAGCACAAACAATTCTATAGGAAAAAAAATCTAACGATTTAAACAATGGACAGAATATATGAATAGACATTTCTCAATAGAAAATATACAAATGTCAAAGAGGCATATGAAAACTTGCTATGCATGTAACAAAATATTACATGAACCCTCATTAATATGTACAAATATTATGCAGCAGTTAAAATTGCTTTTAAATACATGCAATATATATTTTTGTATTTAAAATTCACTCTCAGCAGTTAGATATATAAAATTAATTTTCATACTACAAATTCTCAAAAATGCTACATCTTGTAAACTGCATCAAAAGTCCAATTTACCTACTCATTCTGAGTGGTAAGAAAGGCATTATCTTTATATGTTAGTGAAAATATTACACGTATACCATTAAATGATGTCCCATGAAACCACAATGTTCACAGTTTTTGGTACTTGATGCTATTATTGGCTTTAGTTTAGTAAGAATCCTGAAGGGACATAAGGGCATATTACTGGGAATTAATCACATTTGCAATAAATAAATAGAACTTACTTAACAATCTGTAAAGAGATTCTCAAAAATCAACGCTGGATAGAAAGCATGGCTTTTTAAAGGAACTACGCATGTATATATGATGATTCTTTGCTCTCTCAAAGTCATGAAATTTGCTGTTATTATTCATCTAGTCTACTTTCTGAGAGCTATGCCAAGTTCCAGCGTAATTTCCGTTGCCTTTCTGCAAAATTTACCATTTCTAGTCAGGCCAAATTTAAATTTACTATAATCAAGATTCTATTCTTTTTACTCTTTCACGTGACCACTTTTTAAGCTTGCTCGGCTCACCATTCTGGCTGTAATAAAGATGTAGGACTCCAGTCTTCATTTTGAAAGCTAATCCCAAATGCTCCCTTTGATTTGCAAAATCACTTTCGAACTGCTTTTCTGCAATTAGGGAATTTTTTATTGGATTCATTTGCCAAGAGCTCTTATTTCATACTGCTCAGATATTGGAAAAAAAGATTTACCCTCTTTTTTAACTATTTGTTAACATAGTTATATTATCCGATTTATTACCAAGTTTAGGAGTTTCTACTCAGAATAAATTATTACTCTAGTTACCTTGTAGGGTGCTTCGGGTTCGGTTTAAGTGCTAAGTCACTTATAAATTCTTTACTTCTCCCTCAGTTAGAATGTGCTTGGGAAAGGCAAGCAAAATCTTACCTACATGAGTAAATGGAGGTAAGATCTCCTAACACATCATTTAATAGTCCTAGTCTAAGAATTTTACTAACATAGAAAGGTAGCACCTTTTAGTAGGTAAAGTGGACCCTTAATGTGGCTAAAAAGACAGCATTTTTGAGAATTCATAGTGTACCAATTAATTTTACATTACAACCTTTCTAGTGTATTTTAAATATATCTTGAAATTGTTTATTTTCAGATAATTATAAACTGAAGCCGATAGTAGCATCAAGAGTAAAAACTGTGAATTTTGGAACTTCACGGACTGGACAATAGAAAACACCATGCCGTCGTGCAAATCATGTCATAAAAATATTTGATGACATGGGAAAATGAACAGAGTTTATTATATGCAAAAGTCAGGTTACTAAACAATATATATTCCCAGTCTAATTTCAAACATCATTCCAATGTTTTCAAAACTCTACTGTGAGTGCCAGACCAGCTACATGATTTGTCAAGCAGAGTGCAAAATGAAAATGTGAGGCCTCCTACTCAAAACTTATTAAGGATATCAAGAAGGTAACAGCAGTACATTAAACCAAGTGTCCTTCTAAACATGGCGCTCTGTGCATCTACATAGGTTGTGAACCCATGTTCTGTTTTATATACGCGTATGTATACATACATATATATACATACACATTACATCGACTATAAATATATACACCCAAATGCCTACATTTTATGACATATCTTTGAGCGGTGAAATTACAGGTGATTTTAATTTTCTTCTTTGTTCTTATCTAAGTTTTACACATCTTTGACAATGAAAACACTATTAAAGTGATTAGGAAAAATAGTGACACTTGTTATCATGAAAAGATGATACTTTTAATCAAAGGCAGGGCAATGTTCTGGAAGTAAAAGTACCTAGTGTTTTTGTCTCCATAAAATGTGCCAGACAAGTGTTAGGTACTTTATATGTCATCTCCTGCCATTCTTTACCCTGTGGGGTAATATTTATTTTTCCCTTTTACAGGTTCTAAGTTTTAAAGTAACTTGTTGAGTCATATGAGGAGGATTGAGGCTTAATAATAGAAATCCATGCTTCCCCATCATCATATGAAGCAAAAGTCAGAAAAGCTGACTGAGATTTAAATATCTTTAAGCTTTTATTTTTTTTATCTATAAAGTGGATACTATATGATGATAACACTTCTGCTTAATGAACAGCACAGCCACGGAAAGCAATAAAAAGATGTGCTTTGATAACCATAACAGCCCTATGCTTCTTTGTTCAAGAAGTCATTTAGTTGGCCAGGCATGGTGGCTCATGTCTGTAATCCCAGCACTTTGGGAGGCCGAGGTGGGCGGATCACGAGGTCAGGAGTTCGAGACCAGCCTGGCCAATATGGTGAAACCCTGTCTCTACTAAAAATACAAAAATTAGATGGGAGTGGTGACATGTGCCTGTAGTCCCAGCTACTCAGGAGGCTGAGGCAGGAGAATCGCTTGAACCCGGGAGGTGGAGGTTGCAGTGAGTGGAGATCTCGCCACTACACTCCATCCTGGTGACAGAGCGAGACTCTGTCTCAAAAACAACAACAACAAAAATGTCATTTAGTCTTTTGCTTGTGTTTGTGTAACAAAAACTGAAAGCCATGTCATACCAGCATATGTAACATGTATTCCTGTGGCCTGGGAATTTACACCCAGGAACAGGTTTTACATCCATGATGAGTAACTTGGGCGAAAATTTTAAGTTTGTTCCTCTATTGCCCATCTTCTGAAGTCATCCTCATCCAATAAAAGAACAAAGGGTGATCTGGGATTTAAAGCCATAGGCCGTTTGACCTCAGGTAGAGTCACTCGATCATGACTCTGTATCTTGATTTGAATCAAACGATGCTCTTTACGGCAGATAATCCAAGTATTTCAGTCCAGGAGTGCATCACCAGGGAAAGAGATATGTAGCAATGTCCTTAACATTATGATGATTTTATTAATGCTTTGATTAGTAGCAGCTGGAATTTAAAACACAAAAAGTTAATAAAAGAGTAAGCATGAACTTAAAATATGTATACAAAATGCCCTCCTTAAATATGCCACTAAATTTTGGATTTGAGGTTTGAGAGGACTATAAGAAACAATATTTTTCATCACAATTGATGGTTACTAAATCTTCCTCTCAAATGCAATTGCATCAAATATATTTGGGTATTATAAGACCTTCCAAATACTAGGGGCAGAAACTTACTCTGATTGAAACATCAGTCCTCTTCCAACTCAGCTAATTAAACATGAAAGAGGAGCATGTTCAATTGAACTTTAAACATTTACTTACGTCATACACTGGCTGGTTGGTAAGAATACAGCTGGTAGAGCCCAACCGAGGACCAAATGGACCAAAAGTAGCTAGCAAAATCCTCTTCCCCTCGCTCCTTCCCTCTTTCTCCCTTTTCTTTCTTCTCATACCTTCCCTTTTCTCTCTCTCCCCACTCTCCTTTTTCTTTTTCATTTCCTTTCCCTTCTTCCGTCTCTACATCCCTCACTGTTTCCCTTACTCTCTCTGTTTCTCTTCTTTCCAATCTTTTATTCCATCTATATCCCTCCTTCTTCTGCTCACTTTCCCTCTCTTCCCCCTCCCACCCTGCCTCTTTCAACACCCCTTCTTCTTTTACTCTCTACCTCCTTGATCCCTGTGCCATCTTCTCTCTATTCCTACTTCTCCCTCCCTCTGCCTCTCCTTCTCTTGCTCTCTTTCCCACACCCTGCCTACCCTGCTTCCTTCCTCTCTCTCCATCTTCATTTCCTCTAGATGTCCACTCTAGGCTTTGATAAATGGCCTAGACTTCAGCTTTTTTCCAAGAAGCCTCATATGTCTTTTTCACCTACCCATCATCTTTTTTTCTTAATTTATTATTTGGCATATGCTATTTTTCTTTCTTGTCCCATTTAATTTCATGCTGTATGTCTTTTTCCTTATCCCTCTAGGAGAAAATACATCCACCTGCTCAGTTCTTTTGGTTTCATAATTCCTCTACCTTTTTTGAACAGCTTCCATTATCTCCTATTTGTTACTAAACAAACAGGAAATAGCTAAACAAAAATTAATTTGCTATCACTACATCATCTTAGAAAGAAAGCTAGGACTAAAAAAAGGACTTTTCTAAAATGTGTTTTCTTCATGGCCTTTGTAATTTAAAAGAGATGTAAAATTTGATAATTAGGGATAATAAGCAAAGTTATCAGAACTTAAAAATAAAAGGGGGTTAAACAGTTACAAAATAGTTAATGCATGAGCCACAACTCTGTACCATTACCACTTGGCAGCCATTATCATTTCCCAGCTTAACAAAAGTCTCTAAGAAACTGAAAACCAGAAGTTGGAAATTATAATAAGGGTCACAGCTTTTCTGGAAGGATGAGGGCAAAGAGGCATATTTGAATTTAAACAGACAAAATGCTAGATAAATGCGGAAGATTTTATGTCCTAATAGAGTAGAAAAATACCAAGAGAATTGGGGTACTGTGTTTTCTCAGCAGTCAAGTAAAATTTTAGGTGAGAAAAGAGGGAAAGCAAACAATAAAATGTATCCTAATAATAGAAATCAGTATTCAGCTTCTGAATAGAATATCCACGTGACAACTGAAAAGACGTAATCCAAGCTTAACATCTGAACCCTAAGCATAACCAGGAACATGAACTAAAAACAAAACCAGCAAGCAAACAAACAAAAACCAGGAGAGAATTGATTCTCAGATTTTAACTAATTTGGAGTCAAGATCTAATTATTTTAGCAGCAGAGAACACATGCACAAAAAAAGTTCCTAGCCATCGTGTAAAATTACTGTAGATACTTAAGAATGACAATTAACAATTGTCCTGCCACATATATAGGCAAGTGGGAGATTACACTGGAAAGACAAGTAGTGAAGGGACATAAAAGTGACAGCACCGAGTGCTCAGCCAGTGCCCATAGATGATGTTGAATTATGGGCAAGTAAGAATTTGAATTATGCTTTATTTTCCAATTTTTTCTAATTTACATATCTTTTTATTTATCCCAGCTGGAGTGATAGATGTCTATAACTTTTCCAGTGCACCCTTCTTTTTATGAACAGTTTTACTTATAAAATATTGTGAGCAGAGAGTATACATATAAGACTGATACATGTGGAATTTATTTGCTGCTGCATTGAGACACCATAGTGCTCACTCATACCAAGGGGATTTTTAAAAATTTAAGTTTTGTGGATACATAGTAGGTGTATATAAGGTGTATATATGTATGGGTACATGAGAAGTTTTGATACAGGCTTGCAACATGTAATAGTCACATCATGGAAAATGGGGTATCCATCCCCTCAAGCATGTATCCTTTGTGTTACAATCCAATTATACTATTTTAGTTATTTTGAAATGTATAGTTAAGTTATTATTGACTATAGTCACTCTGTTGTCCCAGCAAATACTAGGTCTTATTCATTTATTCTAATTAATTTTTGGTACACATTAACCATCCCCACATACTCCCCATTCCTCCACTACCCTTTTCAGCCTCTAGTAAGCCTCCTTCTACTTTCTATATCCATGAGTTCAACTGTTTTGATTTTTAGATCCTAAAGTGAGAACATGAGCTGTTTGTCTTTCTATGCTTGGCTTATTTCACTTAATGTAATGACCTCCAGTTCCATCCATGTTGTTGCATATGACAGGACCTCATTCTTTTTTATGGCTGAATAGTATTTCATTGTGTATAGGTACCAGATTTCATTTATTTATCTGTTGATGGACACTTAGGTTGCTTCCAAATTTTGGCTTCTGTGAATAGTGCTGCAACAAACATTGGAGTGCAGGTATCTCTTCAATATACTGATTTCCCTTCTTTTGAGTCTATACCTACAGTGGGTTTGCTGGATCGTATAGTAGCTCTATTTTTAAGTTTCTGAGTAACTTTCATTTTTGGTGTCCTCTTTAATTTCTTTCATCAGTGTGTTATAGTTTTCACTGTAGCTATCTTTCATTTCTCTGGTTGATTCCTAGGTATTTGATTTTATTTGTGGCTGTTATAAATGGCATTATGTTTTTGTTTCTTTTTCAGATTGTTCACTGTTGCTATATAGAAATGATACTGAATTTTGTATGTTAATCTTGTATCCTGCAACTTCATTGTTTATCAACTGAATTTGTTTATCAGTTCTATTTTCTGGCAGTGTCTTTAGGTTTTTTTTCCAAATATAAGATCATATCATCTGCAAACAAGGATAATTTGACTTCTTCCTTTCCAATTTGAATCCTCCCTCCCTCCCTCTGGGACTTCTAGTACTATGTTGAATATCAGTGGGGAAAGTAGGAATGCTTGTGTTATTCCAGACCTTAGAGGAAAGGCTTTCAGTTTTTTGTCATTTAGTATAGTGCTAGCTGCAAGTCTATTGTGTATGGTTTTTATGTTGAGGTATGCTTCTTCTCAGTTTTCTGAGGGTTTTTTTTTTAATCATGAAAGCACACTGAATTTTATAAAATGTTCTTCATCATTAATTGAAATAGTCATGTTTTTTGTCCTCCATTTTGTTGATATGATGTATCACATTGATTGATTTGTGTATGTTGAACCATCCTTGTATCCCAGGAATAAATCATACTTGGTCACGATAAATTATCTTTTTAATGCATTGTTGAATTCAGTTTGCCATTATTTTGTTGAGGATTTTTGCAATATTTGTCAGAGAGATTGGCCTGAAGTTTTCTTTTTTTGAGGTGTCTTTGTTTTGTTTTGGTAACAAGGTAATACTAGCCTATAGAATGAATGTGGAAGTATTCTCATCCCCTCTGTTTTTAGAATACCTTGAGTAAGATTGGTATTATTTCATTAAATGCCTGATACAATTCTGCAGTAAAACCACCAGGTTCTGAGCTTTTCTTTACTGGGAGACTTTTTATTATGGCTTCCTTCTTGTTACTTTTTATAGGTTTGTTCAAGTTTTGGATTTCTTCATGGTTAAATCTTGGTAAGTTGTATGTATCTAGAAATTTGTCCACTTTTTCTAGATTTTCTACTCTATTAGCATACAATTGCTCACAGTAGCCAGTAGTAATCCTTTGAATTCCTGTAATATCAGCTGTAATGTCTTCTTTTTCATCTATGATTTTATTTATTTGGGTCTTATTTTTTCTTAGTTAGTCTGACTAAAGGTGTATCAACTTTGTTGAACTTTTTGAAAAACCTGATTTTTGTTTCATTGATCTTTGATATTGTTTTCTGGTGGTAGGATTTAATTTTTTATTTTTATTTCTTGTGCATCCATTGTATAAGTTTGCTTTAAGGTTACCATGAGGCTTGCAAACAGTATCTCATAACCTATTATTTTAATGTGATAACAACTTCATGCTGTTTGCACAATCAAAGAAATAAGCAAAAAAAATACTAATAAAATTTCTACACCTTGATTTCATTCCCAGGCATTTTGACTTTTGTTGTTTCTATGTATAGCCCCTTGTATTGTCCACGTCTTGAAAAGTTGCTGTGTTTATTATTTTTGATTGGTTCATTATTTAGTCTTTCGATGTAGGATAAGAATTGTTTACACACCACAGTTACAGTTTCATAATATTCTGTGCTTTTCTGTGTACTTACTATTGTCAGTGAGTTTTGCACCTTCAGGTGATTATTCATTGCTCATTAACATCCTTTTCTTTCTGATTGAATTAGTCCCTTCAGCATTTCCTGTAGGACAGATCCGGTGTTGATGAAATCCCTCAGCTTTTAGTTGGGAATGTTTTTATTTCTCCTTCACGTTGGAAAGATATTTTCACTGGATATGCTATTCTAGGGTAAAAGTTTTCCTTCAGCATGTTAAATATGTCATGTCACTTTCTCCTGCCTGTAAGGTTTCCATTGAAAAGTCTGCAGTCAGATGTATTAGAGCTCCATTGTATGTCATTTGTTTCTTTTCTCTTGCTGCTTTTAGGACCCCTTTTCCATGACATTTGGAAGTTTAATTAATACATTCCTTGAGGTAGTCTTCTTTGGGTTAATCTGCTTAGTGTTCTATAGCCTTCTTGTACTTGAATATTGATATTTTTCTCTAGGTTTGAGATGTTCTCTGTTATTATCCCTTTGAATAAATGTTCTACCCCCTCTCTTACTCTGCCTCCTCTTTAAGGCCAGTTACTCTTAGATTTGGCTTTTGAGGGTACTTTCTAGATCCCGTAAGTATGCTTCATTGTTTTTTATTCTTTTTGTTTTGTTTTCTCTCCATGTGTATTTTGAAATAACCTACCTTCAAGCTCACTAATTCTTTCTTCTGCTTGATGAATTCTGCTATTAAAGAGTGCTGATGCATTCCTCAGTATGCCAATTGCATTTTTTAACTCAAGAATTTCTGCTTGATTTGTTTTAATTATTTCAATCTCTGTTCAATTTATCTAATATAATTCTAAATTCCTTCTGTGTTATCTTGAATTTCTTTGAGTTTTATCAAGACAACCATTTTGAATTTTCTGTCTGGAAGTTCACATATGTCTGTTCTCCAGGATTGAACCCTGGTGCCTTATTTCATTCGGTGAGGTCATGATTTCCGGGATGATCTTGATGCTTGTGGATATTCATCTGTGTCTGGGCATTGAAGAGTTAGGTATTTATTGTAGTGTTCACAGTATGGGCTTGTTTGTACCTGTTCTACTTGGAAAGACTTTCTGGGTATTCGAAAAGACTTTTATGTTGTGATCTAAGCTGTATCTGCTTTAGGAGGCACCCTAATCCCAGAAATGCTATGGTTTTTATGGACTTGTAGAGGTACTACCTTGATGGTCTTGGGTAAGATCTGAAAGAATACTCTGGATCACCAGGCAGAGACTCTTGTTCTATTCCCTTACTTTCTCCCAAACACACAGTATCCCCTCTCTTTTCTGAGCTGCCTGGAGCTGAGGGTGGAGTGACACAAGCACCCCTGTGGCCACCACCACTGGGACTAAACTGGGTCAGACCTCAAGCCAGCATGGTATTGATTCTCACCTAAGGTCCACTGTAATCGCTCCCTGTCTTACAAGCCTCAAATCTGGCTCCGTGACTCTCTACAATCAGCAGGTACTAAAGCCAGCCAGGCCTGTGTGCTTCCTTTCATGGCAGTGAGCTCCCTCAAGCCCCAGGTGGGTCCAGATGTGCCATCCTCTGAGCGCCAGGGACTAGAGTAAAAAAACCTTAGAAGTCTACCTGGTGCTCTATTGTCCTGCTGCTGTGCTGGCACTAAAAGCACGAAATGCAGTCCTTTCCACTCTGCCTGCCCCCTTCCAGTGTCAGAGAAGCTTCACCCTGTAACCAACAGTACTACAGGCCCACAAGCAGTTCTCCCAGGGTACCTTTTTTCTCCCAGGGTACCAATTTTCCCTTTATGCCCAAGGTCTCTTCAGTCAGCTTGCAGTGAATGCTGCCTGGCCTGGGATGCACCCTTCAGAGCAGTGGGCTCCACTCTGGCCCAGAGCCATTCCAGAAATACTATTCAAGAGCCAAGGTCCGGAATTGGAGACCCCAGGAGCTTACTTGGTGTTCATCACTACTGGTTATTCATGACCCAAGGTCTCTTCAGTTAACAGGTGATGTATCCTACCGGGACTGGGCCCTTCCCTTCAAGGCAGTGGGGTCCCTTCTGGCCCAAGAGGGCAGCACTGAATTCAATGCCTCACAATTGCTACAGTCTCTGTCTCCCCAGCATACAGAATTGCTCTCTGCACTATGCCACTGCTGCAGGTGATGGGGGAGGGGTAGCACCTGTGATTCGACATTATTTTTCCTACCTCTTCAGCGTCCCTTTCAGTGAAATGAAGTTAAAACCAGGTATTGTGTGTTCTCACATGATTTTTGGTGCTTATGAAAGTGCTTTTTTTGTGTGTAGTTGTTAATGTTGTATCCTTGTGTGGGGGGTGTTTCGTGAAGCCTTCTATTCTGCCATCTTGATCTGTTTCTCCTGAGGGAATGTTTTATGTAGCTCAATGACTTCAAGAAGACCAGGTCACCCTGTGCCTGACATACTTTCGCTTATCTAGTTCATTAATGATATGGGGTGTAATTTTATAAACATTATCTTAAGAAAGATACATCTCTTTCTAGTCATGATTGGTCACTCAGTAGTTATGTGTGGCCATTTTCTGCCAGGCATGGTCTACAGTGATGTTACATTATCTTCTTTGAATTTGAAGAAGGGAATTTAAGTAGTTGTCATAATACCTTAGAAGAAATATGCATGTGACAGCTAAGTGCAACTGCTAAACTCTAAACTCACAGAGGGAAGCCACTCAGAATTTCATTATTTGTTCATGCAACTTTGGCTACATTGCAGGCATTATATTTATAGCTTCATGGTGTAATATTAGTATGTTACAAGTTTGTGATATTTTCATACGTAATCCTTCAGCAGAATAGCTGCATCCCTTATTGTTTTCATACTGTCAGGTGGGGAAGTCAGCACCTATATATGTCCACTCAATTTCTCAGGCTGCTAAAGGTAGATTTTACAAGATGAGCACTTTTGTATTTAATAAGAACACAGTCAGTGAATATTAATTGAGTGCTTTCAACATTCCTACTGGTAACGAAAACCTTGGGTAATTTATAATGGAATTGTTTGAAAGCAGGGACATTAGATGCTTATAATCTTGTGTAACATTGAGTTGAGTAAACATTTAGATAAAGAAGAGGTAGAGGAGGTTGGTCTCCATTTTCTGACAGAGGATGAAGAAAACTGACAGGGATTCTCTAGAGACATGACGGGTAAAGGAAATGCCAGAAATTTGACTGAGGGAAAATAAGTCTCCAGGCTTGAGGCTGATTGATATAGAAAGTATATTATACATGACCTAATTAACTTAATGCATTCTTAATTAGGTTAAGGGAGTGTCTATATTTAGGCTCTTGCCAGAAACTAGTTACAGAAAAAATGGGAAAATGAGAAAAATTAGTTTATACATAAAGTTGTGAGGAGTAATAGCCTTAACCACAATTCTTAAGGAAACAAGGATAAAGATAAGAGGATATTAAGTATCTTACTATTATATTGTATATTTAATTATCTCATGTTGAAACTGAGTTTATAATGTACTTTTTACTCATAGGGCTTTATATTATTAATTGACATATTATTGAAGCCATTCATAGGTTTAAATACTATTTTGGTGTTTATATATAGTTTGATTTCTGGTAGAAATTGACAGTCTCCTCTCACTTACGTGAATTCCTTCAGAAAAGAGGTTTTGTATAAATTATCCAAGTGCATAGACTACTCTGTCAAAACTATTATAACCTGAGACACTTGCAGACTCCTGGTGGCAGCATTGCCAGGGACCCCTGGGTTAGCATTCATAGTTAAACTTTCCTAATGAGGGTTTAGGTTGAATATACAGCCTCCCTAAAAGAAAAAGTAGGTTTTGGCTGTGCCCTGCGTGTATGAGATTTCAAATCGTATGCACCATTACATCTTCGAGTTCTGTGCCTTTTTAGTTTTCTAACCAGAGATATGGAAATTGACGATGCAGCCATGCAAATTAGGACTTCATTACTGGAAAAACAGTTTTAAAACCAAACCCATCCTCACAGGTCGTTCCCATCCTCCAACAGGTAGGTCAACATGTTCCAGAGAATTACTCTTATTTCCAACCAGCCTCCTCTCTGATCCTTTGATTCAGCTATATTATTATATTAAATCATTCCTCAGTCACAGAACTTCCCCTTTCTGGTAACTATTCCCTAGGACTTATTTTATATTTTTAGGTAACTGTTTAATAAGGTTTTTCATTTTCCCAACTTTTCTTCAACCAACAGTTTTAAAGCTAATACAAAAAATAACCTTTTGACATTTCTTTGTACATTTTCAGTTTTATCTCTTCTTAAGCCCTTCTCTTTTCAAAGTTTAATTTTCATATTATGTCTTCCTCTATTATCTTATTGTAAATTAAGTTGAAAAACTGTAATAAAAAGTCAGATTCTAAATAATGTAAATTTTCATGTTTTAATTAAATGCATTTTTAAACCATCTTTTTTCTAAAATTACTTCTCATTACTATATTTCCAATATAGAATATTAATTTCCACCAAACATGCACTTAAAACATGGATTTATTGAGAGCATGAGTGTAAAATTATTTTGTTCATATGTACAAACATTGCCAGAAATTTCATATCCATTCAATGAAATTCACAATATTTTACATTATGTTGACCACATCTTTTTGGTCTCAGCACTGAAACTACTAACTCCTGGCAACCTCTTCAGCTGCAGAAAGACAAAGACCTAATAGAGTTTTTGAGAGGGTGAAAGGAGATAAAAAGCAGCTAGCACAGCATTTAGCTAACATTGAAATTTTGGCTGGGTGTGATGGCTCACGCCTGTAATCCCAGCACTTTGGGAGGCCAAGGTGGGAGGATCACAAGGTCAGAAGATCGAGACCATCCTGGCCAACATGGTGAAACCCCGTCTCTACTAAAATACAAAAATTAGCTGGGTATGGTGGCACGTGCCTGTAGTCCCAGCTACTCGGGAGGCTGAGGCAAGGGAATCGATTGAAACTGGGAGGCAGAGGTTGCAGTGAGCCGAGATTGCACCGCTGCACTCCAGCCTGGCTATAGAGCAAGACTCTGTCTCAAACAAACAAAACAACAACAACAAAAAACAACAACGACAACAAAAAAAAAAACATACATTTCTGGGGACAAGTTGCCCAATCATGCCAAACCTCAAATTTCATATCCCCTCAATGAAATTCACAATATTTTACATACATTAACCACATCTTTTTGGTTTTAGCACTGAAACTGCTAACTCCTGGCAACCTCTTCAGTTGCAGGAAGACAAGGACCTAATAGAGTTTTTGAGAGGCTGAAAGGAGATAAAAAGCAGCTAGCACAGCATTTAGCTAACTGTGAAATTTCATAGCTGGTTACTCCCCTTTCCCACTCTTCTCTCTCTATCTTCTGGTCTTATAAAGAATGCATTATTTAAGAGAGAGACAGCAGTGTGATACTGTAAAATGACAGACCTGAGCTCTACTACTGACAAGCTGAGTGACTTTGGCCAAGTCATCTCCACTCTGTGCCTCAGTTTCCTCATGGATAAAATGATGATAATTATCACTATCCTTACATTACAGCTGTCACTAGGATCAAATTAAATAGAGTTTATAAAAGCACCCTCTAAGATAAAAAGCATGGTAAACCTGAATCCCATAAGTACAGGCTTTCCAAATACTGTCATGTTGGATGTGACGGTATCTTTATTTCTTGGTCTGCTTTCTGGTAGCTGATGTTGTATCAGCCACATTCACCTTGAAATAGGAACACTTCAAAAAAATACCTTACTTTATGATTCTTAAGTGGTATAAACATTCCTCACACAGTTCGAGAGCATCAATACAGCTATTCAATGCTCACTTCACCAAATTCTCAGATTACAAACCCTCACCATTGGCCATGTTGTCTATTTGCTTTACAACTTGACGGCTTTTCACTATTTCAGGAAATATGCAAGCATATAATCAGCAGACTGGCAGTAAATTGGAACTCTGTGACACAGCTGGGGTTTCATCCACTTGCCTCCCTGAGGCCGCACAAGGTCATTCCAGTTTTTTCCTTGTCAGAAAGCACAGCATAATTATTGATGCACTTTCAATGGTCATGGCAAGGGATGCATGTAAGCACCAGCGAAAAATATCAAAAATTGTGTCTCAGTCATGGTTAACAGGGTAAGACACAGTTATAGAAAAACACAAAAGGGGACCAGCAATAGAAATCTGTTCCCTAATGTCATTAGGGAATGTCAGAAAGCTTTAGTTATAACTTAAGTCAAGCAGACATTATATTTACTAAGAGATTTTCAAAGCAGATGAATATTCCAAGATGATTTCATCCTTAATTCCTAACATAGAATCTGATACTAAGAATGCAACATGGTGTAGTGGAGAGAATACAGGACATGAAAGACAAAGAGAAGCAACATTTCTACTCCTGGATCTGCTCTAGGAGGTATGTTGTGACCTGGGGCATAGAGGCACTTGCTAACTAGTTGTCATCTAATGAATGTGTTGTACAAAATATCGGAAGTAGAGTTCCCTGTGGATAACCAAAAAAAGAGAAAAACCTAGTACTTAGTGCCCTCAAGTATGAATATACAAACATACACATAAAGAAAAAGACAGGCTGATCTTCCAAAGACAACAATATATGCAGATTTATTGACACCTGGAACAGGACAATGTGTTCTCACTAGTTAGTATCTTGATTAAGTCGCAGGGGTGGGGGCAGGAAGGGGATCAGTGGAATTGGATAATTTGGAAAAAAAAAACCAAAAAACATATAGAAGCCTAGATTGTGCTTATATACTGTGCTAGAGGCTTTGGACTTTATCGTACAGTTGGTGGAGAGCCTGGGCTGGGAGTGGCAGAGAAATATTGCTATCTCAAGAGCTTTTTTTACAGAAAAAAAAATATTCTAGTGGTAGTATAAAAGATGGATTGGTCATTGAGAGACTGGAGGGAGATGGAGATCAGGTTAGGAGGCTATAGCAATAGACAAGAGATGTTAATGCTTTGAATAATGGCTCCTGTGACAGCATCTACATTGCTTTGTTGACTTTTGAAGCTTTGCAGGCTGCCACCCACTCCAAGGAAAAGATAATTTTATATTTTCCCTCTTGGTTTCTTCCCTTGTCCTTCTCTCCCACCACCAACACACACAGCCACTTGCTTTCTTCCTTTAGCCTTTGGAAGCCTAAGGATTCTTGCTTTCTGGGAGAGAGGATGAGTGGATGTAAAAGAAGTAGAAGAGATGACAATGAAATGGATAAAGGTTTTGTTTGTTTGTTTGTTTGTTGTTTTTGGTCTGATTGTATGTTTGTTTTTAATCACATTGAGTCAGGTTTGGAGTTGAAGAGATAAGTTAGACATGGGAATGGCTCTGGGGAAGATGTAACTGAAAGGGAATTAAGGAATGGAAGAAGAAGACTTTAAGGCTTAGTCCAGTGGATTGCAAGTTAGATCTCACACTAACACTCCTCAAGAGATGCCAGTAAAGAATACAATTATTTTAAACTGTTCTTCGACTGCTGAGCTAAGCTGCTTACAAGATCAGATGACATGTATCAACAGATTCAAAAGGAGGCTTACATTTCTTGAACTTCTTCTGTCTCTATTATGCAGGGCATTACACTCAAGGTAGGTATTAGGATCACCATTTTACAGATGAGTAAACTGAGGATCAAAGATTCAGTAATTTTGCCAAGGCACATCATGTAAGTAGCAAAGTGGGAATAGATCCTGTAGTCTGTACTCTTTCCACTTTTTTTCTCTACCTGACAAAGGCAGATTTTTACATAATGATTTTACAAGTGAAAAGATAAGTAACTTATCACTCTTTTCACTCTGCCATGCTGCCTTCTAAGCCTGGAATAAAGCAGACATGATAAGAATGGCGAAGAGGGCTTGAAATAATAGGTCTTTCTGAGGTAGATGGTGAGGCTATTATCCAATATTGACAGGGGAAGGAGCAGAGGAAACTGGAATGTGATCGAGTAAATGAGAGTTTAGGCATGACGAATTGCAGTTTCTTATGAGACATCCAGTTGGAGATGACCCAGAGAAATTTGTAAGTACAATATAGCACCTGAACTTAAGAGACAATCTGGGCCGGGACTAATGATTTAAGAAAATCTACATACAGATGAGAATGATTTTAATTGGAGTGAATGAGATTACCCAGGAAGAGTGGCAGAGTCTCCTTGGATCCAGAACCCACAGACTCCTTGTAAAGCTAAATCTTTTCATCATCCTCATTGAGTCTTTCAGCTATAGCTTTCACTTAGCACAAAACAACTCTAATAATATTTGTTACAGAAAACATGTATTATTTTACACTAGAGATTATTGTTAGCCCTGTTATAAACACTATAGAACAGAGAAGGTATGTAACTTATCACAATACACAGAGTTAATTAGTGGCTGACCGGGGAACCAAAATTACACAGTTTGCCTACAGTACCTGTACTCTGAACCACTGTAAGTCAGTTCCTTTCAACATCTAGTATCTGGTGAAATGAAATAAAATCCATTCATGTGAATATTATTGGTCTTTTCTTGGCACTTTGAAGAGCCAAGTGGAGAAATCCCTGCAATCCTTACTTTGATTCTCAGTCTCTGGTAATTCATATCACAATTCATTAGAAGGCTGAATAAAATAATGAATTGAAAATTAGAGAAAAATGGCAGATAGGAAGCAAGGCTAACTTGCAGCTCCTGCTTGGACAGACAGAGCAGCATGCGGAGACTCACATCACGAACTTTTGTTCCAAGAACTACTACAGGAACATATCAGAAAAGCCCAGAGAATCCACACACCCTATGCAGGAGGCAGCTTGCCATTGCAGGCTCTGTAAGACAGACAAAAACTGTGAGTGCCCAAAGTTTAAGAAGGTAAATGTCTGTCCCCAAACAAAACACTGGGAAACCCGAAGGTCCATATCATGGGCCTTAAATTAAAGGGGTGGGAAAAGATATTCCAGGCAAATAGATGCCTAAAATGAGCAGGAGTAGCTGTTCTTATATCAGACAAAACAAACTTTAAAGCAACAGCAGTTAAAAAAGATAAAGAGGAACATTATATAATGATGAAAGGACTAGTCTAATAGGAAAACATTACAATTCTACCTATATATGCATCTAACACTGGCACTCCCAAATTTATAAAACAATTACTACTAGACCTAAAAAATGAGATACACAGCAACACAATAATAGTGGGGGACTCCAAGACTCCATCGACAGCACCAGACAGGTCATCAAGACAGAAACCCTCATGGAACTAGAGAAAGAAGAACAAACTAAATCCAAACCCAGCAGAAGAAAAGAAGTAACAAAGATCAGAGCTGAACTAAATGAAATTGAAACAATAAAATCACAAAAGATAAAGGGAACAAAAAGCTGGTTTTTTGAAATTTATTAAAATCTCTGGTGCCAGGCAGACATAAGTCATTTTTTATAAACTTTCCAGGTGGTTTTAATGTGAACCCACAGGTAAGCATCAGTCACTGAAATAACTCCATGTACTTGTTTGACTTACCTTATGGATATTTACTGCAGCAACCTTAAGAGATGATATAGAAATCATATTCATAAAACTTCACTTGTCAACCTTGATAAACTCCAGGAAAAAGCCGTTGCAACTTTATTTTCCCTAGAAGAAAGAGAAAAAATAAATACAATATTTGATCCTGAAACATTAAATATTGCTACATGGTTTCATAAAAGAACTTTGTGCAGCTATAAAATTACCAACTATAAAATTAGACTCCTCAATCCTCAGAGCAAATGGAATATTTGTCCCTCAGTGCAGCAGTGTTGATCCATAATGACTGTTATTAGTTTCACTTTAATACTACAAAATATTTCACTTGCACTAGTTATTAGATCTTTGCAATGCATTCTGTCTCCATAGCTCTTTTTAACTCCATGTGATATTTATTTTATAGTCGTCATCTGTGATATCACCATGACAAGTGGCACTTAACGAAACACGATAAGCATGTTTGCCATCCCTGCCTAGTGACCGATTTATTCAGAGGTCTTTTTTCCAAACTTGAATTTCTTTTGAATTGCTATAGAATCTGATTCGCTTCATTGCAAATAGAATAAAGATCCCTGTCCCTGTTTAAATCACTCCTCGAACCAGCAAAATATGTTTCTTAAATATGTTAATAGCCCAGGATATCAGGGGGACTTGGTCAGCTCAGAATCTTCTCAAAATAATCTCCCCCATGCTTAATTAATGCCTTTCTTCTAAAGTCTACAATGCTCACTAGTGACCTGAATTTCTGTATTCCTTCTCAGACTTGGGTATGTTACATAACCTCTTTGAACCTTAGCTACTTGCTTCAGAGAATGGGGCTAGTGATGCCACATTGCATTATTGTTCTGTGAATTAAAGACAAATATTTTAAAATGCAGTGTCTAACTTATAATGACTATGCAATAATTCTGGCTACTTTTATTAATCACCAACTTATCTATTCATTTACTCAATATCTATTGAGCACTTTCTATATGTCAGGCCAGCAGTCAACAAAAGAAAAATACTCCCCATCATGAGACCAAAAAAATAAAATATATAAGTAAAATATAGAAAGGATATTCGATGGTGACCAGTGCAATGGAGAAAAACAAATCAGGAAAATAGAGTGGGGACTAGCCAGGTCAGGATAGAATGGATTTAAGTTTTATACGGGGTGGCCAAGAAAGGCTCAGTGATAAAGTGACCTGAAAGAATTAGGGAGGGACTGGGCCATTCTGCTAACTGGAAGAGCAATCCAGGCAGAGGGGACAGCAATTTCAGAGGTATGCCTTGCGTTTTTAACAAATAAAGGTGTCAGTGTTGCTGGTTGTTATACAATGCAGCCTTACATAGTACGTAAACAAACGGATGTCGATGTGTGCCAGTAAGACTTTACTTGAAACCACTGACATTTGAATTTCATACAGTTTGCACATCATGAAATTTTCTTTATTTTTTTCAAATATTAAAATAAAATTTTAAAATTATTGGCTCACATGGGCCATACAAAAATAGTTAGCAGGCTGGAATTGGCCCATGGGCCACAGTTAGCCATCCTTTGCTCTAGGGCCTTGAAGACCATTGTGAGGGCTTTAGGTTTCACTGATTGAGATGTGGAGTCACTGGAGAGTTCTGAGTAGTGGAAGAATAGGACCTGATGTGCATTTCAGAAGGATCCCTCTGGCTGCTGTGTTGAATTGGGGGCAAAGGTACAGCAGGGATATCAATAGAATACTAATTCAAGGCAAAGGTGATGGTGGCTTATCTCAGGATGGTAATGAAAGAAGCAGTGAGAAGTGGCCAGTTAGTGGATACATTTGAAGATCTGCGTTCCATATATTAGGATTTTTGCATCTATGTGCATGTGTGGGCTGGGCTGTACTTATCATTTTTCATATTGCTCTTTGCTTTCTTTGCTATTATGGTTCTACTAGCCTCACGAAAAGAAGGATATTTTGTTTATTTGTTTGTTTATATTTACTGAAGAATTTTGCAAATAGTAAATTTATCTCTTCCTTAAACTATTGAAAAAAATACATTATAAAACCACCTGGGCTTTATGTTTTCTTCATGGAAAGACTTTTAAATGCAGATTTCATTTCTTTTATATTTATGAGACAAATCCAGGTTTCCATTTTTTCTTGAATACATTTGGTAATGTCTCTTTTTCTAGCATTTTGTCTATATACCACACATTTTCAAATACTTTGTCATAAAACTGTTTATAATATCCTCTTACCCTTGTCATCTCTACTGCATCTGTCATTACATCACGTTTTCATTTCCACTGTGTATTCTTTGTTCTTTCTTTTTTCTTGATAAATTTATCTGAGATCTATCAATTTTAATTATCTTTTTACATATTAAGCTTCTGGCTTTGCTGACCTCTCTTCTATATATGTTTCTACTTAATACATTCCTGTTATTATCCTTATTATTTTCTTCTACTTTATTTGGGTTTCTTATTTGTTATTTCTCTAACTTATTATCTGGAATTACTTGCTCATTATTTTCAGCTCACCCATCTCATGGAAGTTTTAAGACTACACATGTCCCTCTATGTGCTACTTGAGCTGTGTCCAGTAAGTTTTGATATGTAATGTTTTCCTTATTGTACATAGGCATTTTCTAATTAATATCATGATTTATTCTTGGACTCATGAACTACTCAGTAATTTCCTTTTAATTTTTAAAACCTATGATATTCAATTAGTCATCTACATTTTCATTGATTGTGTGGTCTACATGATATCAATTCTTAGAAAATTTTAAGTCTAACTTTATAAACCTTAGTATCACTAATAAATGAACGATCTCTTACTATCTTCTGCCTTTCCTGATTGCTGATAGTACTACATCCATTCCACCAGCTTTGTGACCATATGAAGACCTCTAACACAATTAACCTATTGCTCTTTCAACTGTTTATTACTTCCTTCTCCTCTTACCCATCATAGCTTCTGGAGGCCAGCATCTGTTAACAAGGGAGTTAAATATATGTCAGTAAAACTCCGTGCCCTTCTCTTTCTCTTCTTTCTCTCTATTGACAACATTCTAGCACTACTCAAACATAAATCTCTGGAGCTTTTGTTTACGCAGCCAAATGTGGCTACAGAAAAATAGCAATAATACTGACTGACTCATCTTACATTCCATTTAGGGCCACAGTTCTCAACTGTATACTCTGTATTTCTCAGGAACCTAATCATATTTCCTTAGGAAATTCTCTCTTCTCTATAAACTCCACTTCCCCTATTGCTATAATGGGTGATCTGTCCCGGCTGCCCTGTAAAGTAACACTTCATCAGGGCACTGGAGCCTCCTTATCTACACAAGGACTTTGTTCGTGAGATTGACTCCAGTCTCCTGCAACACCAATATTTTGCTACACACTAGATAATAGCCTTCAGCATCCAAATATTATATAATAGATCCCATATTTTTTAAAGAAAGCTGTCTCAGCCCCTACATC
Source organism: Homo sapiens (assembly GCF_000001405.40). Classification (NCBI taxonomy): domain Eukaryota; kingdom Metazoa; phylum Chordata; class Mammalia; order Primates; family Hominidae; genus Homo; species Homo sapiens. The sequence continues at coordinate 146,368,502 of NC_000023.11, read as the reverse complement.
CTCTTCCAGCTTCTGTCCCATTGTTTTGTCCCCTTTTAAAATAAAACTCTTTGAAATTGTTCCTCTTAACTCTTTTCCCTCTATTCCCAAAGCAAGCTTTTATCATCATCTAAAAAAGTTTCTCACCTTAGGGGGTCATTCGCCATAGTAGAGATATACAGAAATGAGCCATTATTTGAAAAAAAAAGTGTAATGTTTATTGACTTTGTCACTGTAAATCAAAATTTGTATCTAGTTCTGTAAACTATGTCTCAATTGATCCACACTTCAGAGGGAACAGGGATGCATCCTCCTGACACAAACAAGCCCAAATGAAAGAGCTGTCAATACCATTAGCTTTTTTTCATATATGTCTGGCATATTCATTTCTTGGCTACCACATCACTTACTCCATAGCAAAAATAAGCAGCTCTCAATCTTTCCTTTTTTCATGGACCAAATGACTAATGAAGTCCACATGCGTGAAATACCCTCAAAGAATCCCTGAGACACTAGCTGCACCTCCACTAACGCCTTCCTCCCTTTTGAAAAACCAATGCTTATTAAGTACTTGCTCTGTATTAGGTATTATTCTAAGCACCTGACATACATCGACCATTTAATGCTCACAACAACTTTACAGAATAGCAGAGTAGGCACTATGATTATCCTTATTGTACACATCAAGAAACTGAGGCCCAGAGAGTAGAAATAGCATGCCTAATGTCACATGGTTAACAAAGTGGCTGAGTCAGAATTCAAGCACAGGCTGCCAGGCTCATTATAAATACTCTTAAACCACTCTGTTTCACTTCCCCTCTCCTTCCACTCCTACTAAGGAGACCAAAATCAAGCGGATTAGAGTGCCACTATTAAAGGTGTAATCTTGAAAAATGGTACCCAGAAACATCCATGTTCTAACATTAACGAATGACTACCTATCTTTTTCCTTTTATCTAGTTCCACTCTCCCCCATGCCTACTGTGCTTTATTTCAGTCTCTCCAGCATGCCAACTTCTCTCAACGCTACAGGGACCGTGTACATTCTCTTCTCTCTCCTGAAGTATTTTCACCCTGGCTCTCATATGGCTGGCATCTTCATATCCTGCAGCCTCACCATCCAACTACCTCTTCCTCTCCCATTATTTACCATTGTACTCTGTTTCCTTCATAACTATTATAATTTGAAATCATATATTTATTTGTTTGATTACTTAATTACTTTCTATTTTACTATTTAGATACAAAATCCATTAGGGCTGAGATTTTTGCCCATACAATTGCTCTTATAATTTGATACATCAGTCCTGGCACCATCAGGGCAGAGCTAAGGTGCGGCCATATCTACCTGAGCACAGGGGAAATGATTATCCAGAAAAACTCAGGCATAATACACTCTGAACAGTACATAAAATAGTTGTAATCAAATGCTGTTTACATATTTCCACGTGTATCCATGTAAATCTGTTCTAACTTCTTTATTGTTGTAGCCCTGGCTATGAGCACAGTGTCTGATACCGAGCAGGTGCTCAATAAATGTTTGCTGAATATATCAGCGAATTAATTAGTAAATGAAATGGCTACTCCAGGTAGTCTCCTCTCTTTAAATGTCATAAGGGAAATTTACATATTCTCTTTCAGCAATGGAAAGACTGCTTGCTGATTGGCAATAAAAACGAGGCTATTAAGGGGTTGTATCCATGTGACATTATAATCTTGTTCATTCAGGAATGCAGGAAAGCCCAAATCTTGCCTGCTGGCATTGTCACATCTCTACGTAAGTCAATTGAATAGTATGCATAAAAGAGACAGGGGTAAGCAAAGTAACACTCATCGTTAACTAGAATGTTGACATGTAATCTCCAAGGTACATCTCAACTGTATCAGTTGCAGTATTTACAGACATAAAGGGCAAAAAAATTCTGGAATCAGACTAGCTAAAAAAAAAAAAAGAAAGAAAGAAAGGCATTTGTCTTCTCAACTAGCAAGTTCAGTGGTCGGCCAGGCTCCATACACAGTTCTAAAGTTCAACTCTTCATGATTCTTTGGCTCTCTGCTCTTCCATGTGCTGATGTCATCCTCAGACTAGTGAAAAGATGGCTGCAATAGTTCCCAGTGGCATATCCATACATGAGAAAGTCCAAAAAGAAAAAGAAGGTACTCTCTTATCTGGTGTTACTTAATTTTTTTTTTTTTTTTTTTTGAGATGGAGTCTCACTCTGTCGCCCAGGTTGGAATACAGTGGTATGATCTCGGCTCACTGCAACCTCCGCCTTCCAGGTTCAAGTGATTCTCCCACCTCAGCCTCCCAAGTAGCTGGGACTACAGGCATGTACCACCATGCCCGGCTACTTTTTGTATTTTTTAGTAGAGATGGGGTTTCACCATGTTGGCCAGGCTGGTCTCGAACTCCTGACCTCGTGATCTGCCCACCTCGGCCTCCCAAAGTGCTGGGATTACAGGCGTGAGCCACTGTGCCTGGCCAATTTTTTTAAAAAAAGAGAATTATGAATACTCTTTCTCCACCAGCAGATTCTCTTTCAGGTATTAATTGGCCACCACGGGTTTATAAGTTCATTCTTAATCAATAGCAAGGAGAATAGGACTGCCATAAAAGATGTACCGGTGGTACAAACTACTACCTTATGGAATTTCTGAAATGTATAGCGGTGTTTCTGGTTGTCACGATGCTTGGAAAGAACTACTGGCAATGTTCTAGACAGTCTCACAAAGAATTTTCCTGCAAAATGTTAATGGCATCTCCATTGTTATTCTATTTCCTTTTAAAAATTAAACACTGGGTTAAAGAAATCAAGATCTACTCCTAAAGCTGGTGATGAAGTCACCCTCCTCTGAATCACGTGGGTGAGGAACGCCTACCTGAACATGATTAAAATATTCTTAGAGAGGCAGTGGGGTGGAGAAAGCTTAAATAGGCAGCTAAGATGTCAACAATATCTCATAAGCAAGACTGGAACCCTTGGAGTTCTCCTTTTTTCTTAACTAGTTAGACTAAGAGAACCTCAAAAACAAAAGTGGTCATTAGACTGTTATTTTTGCCCTAAACCCAAAACTGGATTATAAATCTTGTCTTACTTGAAAAGAAAAGGCTGGTCTAAGAAATGCCTGTGAGTGTCAGAAATAAAGCATCCAAAGAGAATGAGAAAGATTTTTTTCCTTTAATGCCTAGAGTAGAGCTAATAAAATCTTTAGATGTGGAAGATAGGAAGAGAAGGTAGAGATGCAAAGAGATGTCGGGGCCTCTAGAATTTGGAGGCATTAGCCATAGGATTTGCTCAGTTTTAACAGCTTAATGAGTAGAAGAGGAGGAAAAAAGAGAGATCATCTCACTCTTTTTACCTCAGCCTCATCATGAAATCATATGAAAAGAGGTCAAATCCAAGTTTCCTAGACCTTTAAATAAGGCATGATATCTCCACTCATCATCACAGGGAACCAACCGGTATCTTAGAATTTAATGAATTTAGAACATTCCTTTTCTTTGAGGATGGATATAAAGAACTATATAGCCATGGATCAATAGTTATTAAACTTGGATACTTATTAACTATGTAGATTCCAGATCCAGATACTGAGAGGACTGGGATTTACATATATATGTATATATGTTTTATAGATATATATATATATGCATATATGTTTTATATATATGTGTGTGTATATATATAAAACATATATTTATAAAACATATACAATTATATAATATATATGTTATATATATATTATATATGTTACACACACACACACACACACACACACACACACACACACACACACTGTAATGATTCTGATAACAGATGGTCATGGTCCAGGAAACTACACTTCGAAAACAAATTTACACAGTACAATTAGGCAGTGAATGGCTTGTTTGTAAATGAACCAATTCAATACAAATTACACAAATGGAAATGTTTTTGACTGCATAGGAAATATTTTATTTAGAAGGGATGGATATAAAATTCATGTTAGACACTTGAAGAGGTTAAAAAACACTGGGCTCAAAAGCAAGATATATATATATATACACATATATATATACACACACACACACACAAACACACATACACATATGTATATGTACATTTATAAGAGTTACAAGACAGTCATTTAAAACTTAAGTTTAGATCTTTCTAAGAGTAATATGGCCAAATAGAATGGACACCAATTTAAAAACTATATACACACAACAAAATATCTTCTTATGCACCAAAAACAAGATAAGCATTCAGAGTACGTGGTTTTAACTTCAAATCACTGAAAGAGGCACTGGAAGAAGGTAGGAAAGACAGGCTTTAAGCAGCAACACCACCCCTCCCCCATCCCCTCACAGTGACCACGTGGCATGGAGAGAAAATCAGCGCACTTGGTTCTGTGAGATATTGCATTCATCTTCGTGCTGCCCTGTCACAGCAGAAAGCAAAACTAGTCTGAACTCAGCTGACACTCTCCCACAGAGGGAGTATTTAAACCAGGCCTAGCTAGAAAGGAATCACCCATACCAGCAGTTGGAACTTGAATTCTGGCAAGCCTCACCACCATGGGCTAAACTACTTTGGCTCCCTAAATAATATTAACATACAGTCTAGGCCACAGGTACTGCAACTGCTCAATGAGTTCTAGTAGACAACTGGGCTCAGAGCCAGTGAACTTGGGGAGCACATGACCTACTGAAACACCAGCTGGTGCAGTTAAAGGGGTGCTTGCACCACCCCTTCCCCAACCCCATGCTGCACAGCTTGTGGTCCAAAAGACACCCCTTCTTTTCACTTGAGGAGAAGAAGAGAGGGAACAGTAAAGAGGACTTTGTCTTGCATTTTGACTACCAGATCAGCCACAGCAGAATAGGTCACCAGTCAAAGTTTGAGGTCCTATTTCCAAGCCCTAGCTACCAAACGACATTTCTAGACATAGCCTGGGACAGAAAGGAAACGACTGCCTTGAAGGGAAGGACCTAGTCCTGGAAGGACCCATCACATACTGACTAAAGAGCCCTATGATTCTAAATAACCAGCAGTGATACCCAGGTAGTACGCTGTGGGGCTTGGGTAAGACTCTGAGATTACCTGGCTTCAGATGAGACTCAGCACATTCCCAGCTGTGGTAGCTATGGGGAGAGACTCCTTTTGATTGCAAAAAGTAGAGGGAAACACAAAAGGGATTTTATCTTGCATCTTATGTACCAGCTCAGGAAAGGGGGGGTAGAACACCAAGTCAGCTCCTGGGGGTCCCAGAATCCATACCTTGGCTACTGGAAGACATTTCTTGAATGGCTCTGGGCCAGAGGGGAGCCCACTGCCCTGAGGTGTGAGTCCCAGGCCTGGCAGCATTCACCATAAACTGACTAAAGAGACATTGACCATAAAGGTAACATCAGCAGTACTCCCCATGGTCCTGTGGTGCTGGTATCCCCAGGGTGAGGCTCCTGTGCCTGAAAAAAAAGGGTGGTAAGAATTGGAAGAACTGTGTCTTATGGTTTGAGTGTCAGCACAGCAGCAGTACAATACAACACCAGGTAGACTTCTAAGGTTTTTTACTGTACTCCCTGGTTCCCAGATGGTGTCCCTGGACCTGCCCCAAACCTGGGGGATCTCAAAACCCTGAAAGCAATGATAGAAGCCTGGCTGGCTTTACAACATGATGATTTTAGAGCCCTGGGATATTGAGGGAACATTGGCAATAGCCAGGCAGTAGTTACAGCAGACCTTGGGTGAGACACAGTGCTGTGCTGGCTTCAGGTCTGACCCAACTAAAGGGAGTACTTCAATCTGAAGGAAAAGGATGTTAATGAGCAGTATTTATGCAGCCAAAAAACACATGAAAAAATGCTCACCATCACTGGCCATCAGAGAAAAGCAAATCAAAACCACAATGAGATACCATCTCACACCAGTTAGAATGGCGATCATTAAAAAGTCAGGAAACAACAGGTGCTGGAGAGGATGTGGAGAAATAGGAACACTTTTACACTGTTGGTGGGACTGTAAACTAGTTCAACCATTGTGGAAGTCAGTGTGGCGATTCCTCAGGGATCTAGAACTAGAAATACCATTTGACCCAGCCATCCCATTACTGGGTATATACCCAAAGGACTATAAATCATGCTGCTCTAAAGACACATGCACACGTATGCTTATTGCGGCACTATTCACAATAGCAAAGACTTGGAACCAACCCAAATGTCCAACAATGATAGACTGGATCAAGAAAATGTGGCACATATACACCATGGAATACTATGCAGCCATAAAAAATGATGAGTTCATGTCCTTGGTAGGGACATGGATGAAAGTGGAAATCATCATTCTCAGTAAACTATCGCAAGGACAAAAAACCAAACACCGCATGTTCTCACTCATAGGTGGGAATCGAACAATGAGAACACATGGACACAGGAAGGAGAACATCACACTCTGGGGACTGTTGTGGGGTGGGGGGAGGGGGGAGGGATAGCATTGGGAGATATACCTAATGCTAAATGACGAGTTAATGGGTGCAGCACACCAGCATGGCACAAGTATACATATGTAACTAACCTGCACATTGTGCACATGTACCCTAAAACTTAAAGTATAATAATAATATAATAAAAAAAAGAAAGTTATACATTCTTATTATGAAGAATCTGAAAAAAAAAAAACAACAAAAGTGCAATGGCAAAACGAAAAGCTACTCTTTCTTTTACCAGAGATACTGCCGTTGTGATAACCACCATTAATATATTTGTGCTTTCCCATATGGTAGTTTTTCTAAGCATATATGTAATCATTTTAAAAAACTGAGATCCTACTGCATCTTTTACAGTATATCCTACTCTCTGTATATATTAAATGACCATAATTAATTGTCTGGGGCTAGAAGTGAGGGAAGTTAATTGACTACAAAAAGCACCAGGGAACTTTTGGGATGTCAGTGTTTTATGTCCAGATTCTGATAGTGTCAAAATTTATTGAATTGTTTACTAACAATAAGTTTAGTTTATTTCCTATAAATTATTCTGCAATAAAATTGACCAAAAAAATGAAAATTGGCTTGGCTATAAAAAATTATAAAAAGGTCAAAACACCACTGCAAGACTTATTTGGGAAACAGATGTCTCACGACCATCACAAAAGTTCAGGATTATTTAAAATACTGTATCAGATTGATGAATGTGGCAAATTAGATAATTTAGAAAATTTAGAGACAGTCGATTTTGGTGAAGGGAAAATCTGAAGTACAGAAGAAGTGTAAATTGTACATGTATTCATACATATGTATGCACGTGTGTGTTTCTTGGAGTAGCGTAGGGTTATAATTAGTGACGTTGTCAGCAAAAGGAGGTTTCAGTGACTATACTGCAAGCTAAGAGAAAGAAAAATGAAAACAGCTATCAAAGATGAACAATATTTGAGACTTCTAGATAAGGAATGGCAAAATATATTTATATTAGAAATACTATATACAGGAAAACACATTCTAATATTCTTGAAAGCAAAGCAACTATTCTTTATCCCTGCAACAGGGTAACTTTTCTGTATAATTCAGGAAAGCAAAAATATGATCATGTCAGAAACTGAAAAGTTCAAACATGGTATCTGTCATCAACACCACCAAACAGTGTATAAATATGCCATGAGGTGGGGCAATCCACAAATGACTCTATGGTTGACAATTCTCTTTTCTATTAAGAAGTTGAAGATAAGATCCTCAAGGCCAGGCGCGGTGGCTCATGCCTATAATCCCAGCACTTTGGGAGGCCAAGGCGGCCGGATCACGAGGTCAGGAGATCGAGACCATCGTGGCTAACACGGTGAAACCCCGTCTCTATCAAAAATACAAAAAAATTAGCGGGACGTGTTGGCGGGCGCCTGTAGTCCCAGCTACTCTGGAGGCTGAGGCAGGAGAAATGGCGTGAACCCGGGAGGCGGAGCTTGCAGTAAGCCGAGATTGCGCCACTGCACTCCAGCCTGGGCGACAGAGCGAGACTCTGTCTAAAAAAAAAAAAAAAAAAAAAGATAAGATCTTCAAATAACCTTTAGTGAAAAATATAACCATTGAGTGGAGAGAAGAAAAGAATCCTGCCACCTGTGACTAGAAAAATATATTACGATGACCAGAAAAAAAAAATTATGATTATTCATCTCCCCACAAAGACAGAATATCTTTTCATTATTTAAATAAATTCATTGACCATTAATATATATAATAATTTACATATAGGATGGCTTTGTAAATTGTATATCATAAAATTTACGGTCAAAAATATATCTCCCTTTTGAAATTAGCATCCATCTATTAAATCTTCTATAACTTTTTTTACTTATAAATTGTGTTTCTTTATTTAATTTTTTTTCTATTTTGTAAACTGCCTATTCATTTCTTTGCCCATTTTCTTCTGAATTCATTGTCTTCGTTTTAATGTGTAAGAACTCTTTACATTATAAATAGAAACCTCTCTCTCAACTTTGTGTTGCAATTCTTTTGTTTTGCAAGTCTATTGTCCATTCACTTTCATTGTTATTTTCCGTAACACTGACAAAATTTATGTAACAAATATGTTTTTTCTTTCATAGCTTCTAAATTCACAGTCTTACTTAAGAAAAATTCCTTCACCTCTAAAACATACCCATAGTCTCATAAATATTCTTGTAGAATTTGTATCTTATATATTAGCTGTTAGGTCTCACTCCCTCTGGAATTTATTTTTGTTTTTGGTATAAGATAGGAATACATTTTTATTTTCTTCCTGATGGAGAGCTAGTTGTACCAGAACCATTTGATGAATAATCCATCATCATCTCACCAAATCTGAAATCCTTCTCTTGACATACATACATTTTTCATTTATATGAGGATCTATTTCTACTCATTTATTTCTATACCAGTAGCACCAATATTCACCGAATGCTCCCCTTTTCCTTTTTCCAAAATTCCCTTGAGGGCTCCAGTTTCTCTACAGCCGTCTCAAGTGGTGTCTAGTTTCTCCATCACAATTTTGTTCTACTATGCCCAGTACCCTACAGAGGCAGGGTAGATGTTCTCTCTCTTTCTTATTGCTACATCCATACTCTGTTTCTCCTTTGTGCCCAATACCATCCAGCTTTTAAATTTGTGTCACCAGACTGTAGAACCCATTACCCATCAGTTGCAGGGTCACCTACTAACCTGGATCACTCTCTCTCATTCTATAAGAGTTTTAGCTTCAGGATCATTACCACTATTTCTAACCAAATAGAATTTTGCCCCACCCATCATTCCATAACCACTCCCTCATGCTTATTTTGCTAAGATTACCAATGATTTCCAGAAAGCTAAATTCAATAATCAATTATTAGCCTTATTTTACTATTCCTAGTGGTAGCAGCTGACCAGTTAATGATTTTCCTGATTGTGAAGCGATTTATTATTCCTTTGGCTTCCAGAATATTACCTCTAAATGGTAGGCAATCAATCTAAGGGCTCTCTCTCTAGACTTGGTCTCTATGCACACTGACTCCCTTGGCCATTTCATCCTTTCTTAGGTTTAAATACCAGTTACATGTGGACAACTCCCAAATTAAATCTCCAGCCCTTCTGGTCTGACTCAATATGCCGATATTAAACTCCCTTCTCAACACCTTTACTTGTGTGTCTGCCAGACGTCTAAAATGTATCATTTCTATATCAGTAAGAGTTCAGGGAAGGAAATTGAAACCACAACAGCTATTGTAAGCAAGCAGGGATCCAATACAGGGAATAAAATGCTAATAAAGTCATTGGACTGCTAGAGGATGTAGCCATACTGGCCTCCTTGTTTCTCTTCAACACACCTTAAAACGATTGTACTGGATGTTCCCCCATGCCTAAGTTGCTCTTCCCCTAAGTATCAGCTTGGCTACCTCTTTCCTCGGGTCATTGTTTAAATATCACTTTCTCTAGCCTTATTATTTTTCTTTTACACACGTTTTTGGCTATTGTCTGGCATTCACTTTTCCACTTAAATTTTGAATTTGCTGAGCACATGACTTGTTTGTTCAGATTAAACTGACCTCTGAGACCCCTTAGACGCATTGCTATTCTTTGCTGGCTCTTTAGCATTCACATCAGTTGGCTGCCATATCCAAGAAGCTGATGGCGCCTTGAGGAGTGGTGGAAGCATAAGCCCTTCTCCTGTAGGAAGGAGGGAAGAAGCAGGTGGCCACTTAGTTCCCTCATGAGTCACCTGGAGAAAGCCTCCAGGTTCTCACTGTCTCCTCTCTCCGACTCAGGGCTATTAATTATCTCCTAATCAGGCTATTCCTTATCTCCTTTGGGGCCTGTTATGGACCAGATAGATGAAGTGTACTAATGTTGGGGTGGCAACAGACATAGATCTTCTCCTGGGGTTCCATAGAGCTCTGTGGCACACGGCTTTCAAATCTCTGCATTGTAACCCTAATCCAAAATCTCATATACTTGTCTTTGCGATCTTGCCCCATTCCAGAAGAAGAAAGATCTGCATTGGTTTTCTCTTCCCATAATACCTTAAAGCCTAATTTGCTCCCAGGGATGGTAGGACCCAGCAGCTGTTGACTTAGATGAGGTGCGTACAATCACTGTACTTCTTCCTTCTCTAGAATATTCTATTTTTGCTTTCTACATAGCTAGATAATATTTTTAAAATATTAACCAGTGTGATTTCTTGGTATCCTCCTCTCTGCCCTTTGTTCCACCAGGTTGAACTACTCAATAATTCATTCAGTGAAAGGAAGTGACAGCCTCAAGCAAAAGAAGTATCTTCCAGCTTTTGAAACACAAAACTCCATTCTCTTTAGAGAATGAATTTTGAAAGAAAGCTTTAGAGTTAGAAAGACATCATAACCCCTTAGCTAGAATGGAAGTTCCCAGGCTAGAGGAAAAGAGAATCAGAGGGGAAGTCAAGAGAGTGGATGATGTTGGGCCCCAAAGAGAGGTCCAAGTTCCAGGAGTAGGTAAATCACCCTAGATAGGTTTGTAGATATGAAAGCAAGATAGACTTCTGCCCTGTTGCTAAGGCACAGATCAGGGAAATGGCAAGTTACAGAGTGGAACTGGCTGTGTGGCTCATTTGGAAAACTGAGCCTTAGACAGTCTCATGGATTTTCCTTCTCCCGTGTGTCATTTAGAAGCAGTAGATGCTTTATATATGCCCCAACATGAGAAGAATGCAGGGGAAAGGGGTCTCTAAAGGGAACCTTAGGTAAGGAATGATGGGTATCACTCTGGTGACCTGTATGTCCATTTTACTGCCGCTAGGATGGACTAATAGGTGTCACATCAAATATCAGTGTGGGCATATAAAATAGTAGTCTAAATGAATCTTCAACACTTTGACATATGTGACCTCCTTCAGATTTCAAGCACAGCCCCAAAGGAAGGAAGGGACACTCAGTAGACCCACAATAATTATATACTACCCTAGTGAATAGGATTTATAATAGAAATTCAGTTGTTTTAGAAAACAGAGCTAAATTTCTTACAAGCCTTGTTTGTGGACTGAAATTAATTTGCATGTAGAGTATCATTCTTTTTCTTTCCATAACTTTATTTCTGTCCCACAAGTCTTCAGATGTTGCTAGATTTATGTAGTGGCATATCTTTGGCTCCTCAATTTTCTAATCCTTACCCATTTGTGTGCCATTTTTCAGAATATCTCTACATGTTTTTGTAGCCCTTCTAGTATTTTCTTTTTTCAATGCATTCCCCTCATCTATCATTAAATTATTCAGAAAAATTTACTCCAGGGTACAAGTCTTAGTTGAATCCAATCAATTTCTTCAAGTATGTGTGACTTTGGTTGGGGTAATACAAAAATTATTAAAAATAATGCAAATCTGCTATGTAGAGAAAAGCTGATGATCAGTAGCAGGCCTGTTTAAAGGGCATTTGGAGAATTGGTTATATATCACCAACTGCATGAAAAATCAGTGCGACTTTGGCTGTATGTGTGACTTTGGTTGGGGTAATATAAAAATTATTAAAAACAATGCAAATTTGCTATGTAGAGAAAAGCTGATGATTAGTAGCAGGCCTGTTTAAAGGGCATTTGGAGAATTGGTTATATATCACCAACTGCATGAAAAACCAGTGCAAAGAAGATTCTAAATGTTGTCTACTACTTTTGTCAAGGACAGAACTCACATGCAAAAAAGTCAAGTCTGTCAAATCCAGGGAAAGTCATCGGTCACTTGCAATTGTAACTATTTTCCTATGTCTCCGACTCCCAAGTTTCAATCATAAAAATCTCTAATGTTAATTTTTTTCATATCTCTTAAACCCATCAAATTGCTGAGTTCCTCATTTCAGGCCACATATATTTTCAATACACATAATTATTATAATACAGAATCAACTTCATCAATGCCCTTAGAGATATAGCTCAATACAGTATAAACCGACATGAGAAGACAATTGAAGTGTAAATTAAATAAAATATATGTAAAACGTTGAAGTTAATTGAAAACAGTAGGGAAGGGTAAGAATCACTGTGTCATGATGATAATGGAAAGTCACACAAGATAACATGGAAATAAATAATTTTACCCAAATAATCAGTGCATTTTTAAAAACAAAGGAATGGAAAGTTTATGTTTCTATATTATTAATTAATATTAAGCTTACTCAAATGTTTTTGGAAAGAAAAGAAATAAAGAACAGATTGGATTCATTTTCAAACATGTCGTACTCACCTATATCCCTACCCACATATAGCATTATCTTCATTTTTATAAATTAAATAGTACAAGTAGAATTCTGTATGTCTGACAGTAGCAAAAATTTCACATCAATCCTGATTCACACTCCCAATGGTCTATTACAACTATGATTAACAGATATTATGCATCTAGCATGTGTAACCTGCAGATGTTAATGTTTTATACTGATGATGTCAGCAATTTTTCTGTAAATTTGTATTTTACTACTGCAGTTAAATGACCCAAATATCCTCAGTACTTCCACAAAAATTTTGCTCTGCATACTAACATGGAGTAGGAAAGAAAAGAAGTCTGCTTGCTTACAATGGACTTGGCAAAAAATCTAAACAAGTTAATAACAGAGGAGCATGGGCCTGGAGCATCAACTGGATGGATGTATCATCCCCAGGCACTGCAACACTCACATGAAGACTGAGACATTTTTTAGTGGAAGCCCATGTCAAAAAGAAGTAATAGTGTATGTTTCTATTTTGTGAACACATCGTTATTTCTTTAAAACCAGTCAGAACATAAAAATGACACTTAGTATTCACACACAGCCTCTCCCCAACAAGCTCTAATTGTTTCTTCTAAGGAACTTCGACAAATGCTTTTGTTATGACATCTTTGCTAAGCTGCAGTGAATTCTGGACTTTTAATAGGGAAAAACTACCACATACCATTACAGTACAAGGAATCCAATACCAGTTTGCTCATCATCTTGGGAATAAGCAATGTTCTGCCTTTGCGGATGCAAGCACAGAAACGGTTTTGGCAAGAAAAAGCATTTTAATTGTTCAGACAACTAATTATTTTGAAAACAAGTGAAATTTAAGTATCTCATCTAACTAGGTTTTGTGACATCATATGATATTTTCTATTTTTATTATGGTTATTGGCATATGTTCAGAAGAAGTCAAACTCCCTCAAGTCCTTCCGAGGAAATACAGTCAGATACAAAAGTTGGGCATCCCTAATAATAATGAACTGGCCGGAGGCCGTAATGCGGGGTCGCCTTACACTGAATAGCCAAGTGATGTTTGTAGCTCTTAGCCCTATGACATTCCTGTGCCAAACAGTCAGAGTATATGTCATATTCCTATGCAATTAATAGTTATCTTAAATTCCCAACATTTGGTAAAAATGTGTCAAGGACACTTGAGAAAATTTCCTACTATAGTTTCAAATTTTGGATGGTGCTTTCCTCCAATTTTCAGTGTTCTCTTCTACCTCTCCTTAAGAAATTGACTTACGGCCCAATACAAGGAAGCGTTCTGCTCAGCAAATAGCCCTTGCTTCTCTGCACAAAAATGACAACCACCTTACAGGATCTCCCTCTGGTTATGGCAGCCCACGTTATCCAGTCCCAGCGTGCTTTAGCGGAATCTGTTGATGAGTTGCTGAAAATAGCAAAATTGTTTGAGCCAAAGAGTACCAGAAAAGCATGGAAGAAAAAAAGTAGCTATAAAAATGGGGAAAATAAGGCAAAAGGGACACCAATTATATAATGAGGACCCAATTATAGTGCCTGGTATATAATAAGTAATGAGAAAATAGTGATTAGTAAAGAACCAAAACAGAGAAGATATGTGTTTCTTTTTTTTTTTTCTTTTATTATTATACTTTAAGTTTTAGGGTACATGTGCACATTGTGCAGGTTAGTTACATATGTATACATGTGCCATGCTGGTGTCTTACTTCCAGTGAGGAACTGTTCTCACTTTGCAGACACTCCTTTGGTGTCTGTAATGCAAAGTAAAGGAGTAAATCCTAACATTAGTCCTTCCACAAATATTTGTTGACTATATAACCTTGACAAAGGGCTGTCAAACTTTGAGTCTGTTTCTTCATCTGTAAAATGGAATGAGAGTGATAACGTATGCATTCTCTAGTTCCTCTGCACTCATGTGTGTGCATATGGCATCGTGTTTATACCTGCGTAGTAAACTATGTAATATATCATGCCACGTTTATTTCTTATTTTCAACATTTCTTTCTTTCAGAGTTGCTTTAAATTAAGCCTTACTCAAGCCAGTTCTTTCTGGTTCATATATTTTATGGCAATACCTAGTGCTAAGAAATCTTGGTTTTTTATATGAAGAGATTAAGATGAGTAAGAAATATGTCAAGCTGAAATACTTTCTCACAGTTCCAATCAGGTGATAAGGTTAAATTGTAACTCATAAATTAATTGGATCTGGTGGGTCAATAAAATAACTCTTGCATTATAGAATAAGTTTTAGCAAGACAAAGGAAAAGTCTAAATCTATGCCAGCCTGGATTATTATCAGGTGTGTTAGGATCATGCTCCAAGAAATCCATTACTTTCTAACAGCCCTGAAATATGGGTATTTGCTCTTATAACCTCTTGTTAAGGAAGTAGTGCTGAGAGCTGTTGAGTAGAACAGAACTCAGCTACGGTTGTAAAACAAAACATTGCTAATATCTGCAAGCTCAGAGAAATATGCTAAGAATTTCTTCAAACGGATTTTAATCTGGAATTTTACAAATAAATTTTAGACACGGCATGTTTAGTTTGAAATACTATGATAGTTTTAATAAAATGAAACAATGGTTAGTCATCCATACTGAGAAAGTTATTTTTTAATTGAGATTTAACTGTTAGATGTCTTTTGAAAAATAAAAGCACTGTGCATAATCAACTCATCATATGAATACTGTTTCAATGTTAAAAATATTTTTCTGACAAAATTCTACTGTATCTAAGCTTTCAAATTTATTGACAGGTTATTATTTTGAATCTTATCATGTTTTTAATCTCCACACTACAATACCACCTTTTAAACTAGCATTTTATTTTCTTTTTGCCAACTCTATTATTTTTTCCTGAGAAATCTTCTCAGATGTTTATTATTTTCAAACAAACAACTTTTAGGTTTGATGATTTCCTGATCTAACGAGAAAACTATATTTAAAAATCAATTTCAGTAATTTATATTTTTCCTTTCCTTCTATTTTCTTCAGTTTTACTTTCTTCTTCTTCTTCTTCTTCTTCTTCTTCTTCTTCTTCTTCTTCTTCTTCTTCTTCTTCTATACTTCTTCTATGTTTTGTGTGTACTACATTAATTCTCAGCATTCTTTTATATGTAACACTTTTTGGCTAAAATTTTTCATTTATGGAGCAATTTAACTGCATTGTTATTTTCTTAAATGAGGTGCTCTGCTCATCATTTGATCATCACTAAATCATAATTTTCATTGTTTTTTTTCCCTAGATCCATGGGTTACTGAAAAGTATAATTTTTATTATCAAACATATGAAAAAGTGGTGATATTGGCCCCCTTTATTGCTATTTATTTAATTTTGCTACAATCACAAAATATGATCTTCATGATACAATATAAATCCTTTAGGAATTATTTAGACACCTTTTGCAGCATAGTCCAAGGTCATTTGTTTTTTGGAACTCTTGCACGTGTTCTTGAAAGAGCTGTATTTTCTACTATTTGGGTGAAATGCTCTGCACCTGTTCGTTAATCAAGTTCACTTATTAGGTTGATCAAATTATCTGTATTCATATTAGTTTTTCCATTTTATCTATTGATTTTTTTGGTATGTTCTTTTTTAAACAATTACTCTCCAGTTCATTCATTATGACTTTTAGATTTTCTTTTACCTTTTCCATCATTTTAAACATACATATTTCATAGTTTTTTCCAGATCCTTATTATATGAATTTCCCGGGGTGTTAGGTTTGTAATTTGTTATGTTTGCTGGCTCTTTCTATTATTGCTAGTTTGATCATATGATTTATAATTCTTTTATCTGGGCCTAGTCCCCAGCTTAGAGTTGGTTTGTTTTTGTTTTCCTCATTGAGCCTCTGTGTCCTAGGTTACAAAAATGCCCTTACGAAGTGATTTTCTATTTCCAAAAAAGGATTGTATGGCCCTTGTCCAATTTTTACTGTGTTTTGAGGGCTTCTAGTGTTTAACCTACATAAGCAGTATAAGATTAGATGCATGCATAGAACTGTGCATGTGCATGTATATGTATATATGTAAATGCACATGCAGATGTGTTTGTATACATTGATTTTGAACTCTCTGTTATCCAGAATATCTATGTGTTTGCCTGAGGATATGGGCCTGTTCATAGATAGTTAGTCCTCCATGTGTGCCATTTATTTTTAGTACACTATGCTGCCTGAAGCCTTTCCTAACTCTTGTCCCTGACCAAGTAGATTTGCTTGTTATTGCCTTTATACTTTCATGGCAGTACTGTCTATTACAGTAGTAATCCTATTACTGGAAAGCGGTCCCTATCCAGACCCAACAGAGGGTTCTTGGATTTCAAGCAAGAAAGAATTTGAGGTGAGTCTAGAGAGTCAAGTGAAAGCAAGTTTATTAAGAATGTGAAGGAATAAAAAATGGCTACTCCACAGGCAGCCCTGAGGAGCAGCCCCAAGGGCTGCTGGTTGCCCAATTTTAGGGTTATTTCTTGATGATATGCTAAACAAGGGGTGGATTATTCATGCCTCCCCTTTTAAGACTATATAGGGTAACTTCCTGACATGGCCATGGCATTTGCAACTGTCATGGTCCTGGTAGGAGTGTAGTAGTGAGGACGACAAGAGGTCACTCTCGTCACCATCTTGGTTTTAGTGGGATTTGGCCAGCTTCTTTACTGCAACCTGTTTTATCAGCAAGGTCTTTACTATCTGTATCTTGTGCCGACCTCCTATCTCACCCTGTGACTTAGAATGCCTTAACCTTCTGGGAATGCAGTCCAGCAGGCCTCCTCTGCCTTATTTCACCTAGCCACTATTTGGGATGGAGTTGCTCTGGTTCAAACGTCTCCAACAATCGCACCCCTGCAATTATCCTTTTACACGTTCTTTACTTACTGAATTGTGAATTCCTTGAAAACACAAGCTGCGAATTCTTTTTTCTAGCACTTAAAATTGTGAAGTCTGAAAAACTGGAACCAGAATGATGCAGAAACTGAAAAGAAAAATATCCACTCAAATTTTCCCTCTATTGTGCTTTTATTCAGCGCATATGAGGAACGTGGGGAGAGTATTTTTCTAACAAAACAAAGAAAAGAAAGTCAGAGTGCCCTTGGGTACTCAACAAAATACACCTGTTAAAATGTGTATGCAAATGTGCCCTCAATTGACAGTTATCCTGAAAGAGACAATTTGACAAATTGCATAAGATTGCCCTGTCAACATACTATTGGTAAGCCTGAATACTTCCTGAGTGTAGCCAGGCAATAAAGTAGAAACTTCAGCAATTAACTGGTGAATTTGATAAATAAATTAATCCAAGTGACCCATTTGTGTCAACATTTCTGCTTTTACTTTGAAAGAAATGGTCACTTTCACTCTCCACTTTTGTAGACAAGCCTTAGAATAAAAACAATGTGTCCTGTTGACATAACAGGAAGAATATGTACATAAATGAAATGCTTTGTATAGCAGCATACTTTTATATCCCTTGCAATCAAACCTTAGGGAAGGAGGAACGATGTGGTTTCTTAGCAACTATTGTGTTGATGCTGTAAAACCATGTTTTATGTAAAACAAAATACATAAAATCAGGATATCTGTATATATCAATACAAATCAAACCCCACGTTCCGCCAGTGCTCCTAAGCTAACGCAAATATAACACACCTCCTCTCAAAAATGTAAACCACCATGCAAATGGTAACTCTGTTTATGCCCCTTTAATCTTGGCTCATGACAGGCTACAGTTATTACACATTTTACCAACCCAAGGAATGATCATTAAGCAGGTATCAGCAATGCTGCTGCATATACTAACAATAATGGTAACAAACTTAATAATACCTTCAGAGAAGGACCTAAGGTATGGAAACAGTCAAGTAAACACAGGGGCCTAAAGCTACTATTACAAGGTTCCCAACACTGTTGCTATTAGAAGTCAGGGCATTCGAAAGCTTAAATGAATATTTTTCCAAGTTATCTTTGTATAATTGGGGAGGGAGGTACTTACATGACCTGATTATAAGCTCCATGAGGACAGGAAACGTGTTTGCTGTTTTTTGCCACTAAATCCCCAGCACTTAGCACACACACGGTGCCTAGGGCATGGTGGGCACTCAGTACATGATGAGTGGATTTGAGAGGAAATTCTTTCCAGAATAAAATTAGAGACTGAATGAGGAAAAGCTCAACACAATTCACAGCTGCCTTCAAAGCCAAGTGTATAAAATAGCTGTGGAATTAAAGAAAATTTGAATTATCATATAGGAAATACTCCTATTTACTTGCTGTTTTACAGCCTATTCTGCCATTATCTCAAGGGAATTTTATATAGCTCTGAGAGGATCCAGGCAAATGTTATCATTTCCAATTTACAGATACACAGGAAAAGTAGTATCATGGGCATTTTATTGGGAATGGTAAAACCAAAATTATTTTTACAATTAGTAAGTGTAACCACACATATCACCTATGTGATCCTGAGAGCATATGTCCTTTATGTGGGACTTTTTCTGTGTGTCCTCCTACTCTTTAAGACTCACAGCCCAGAAAGTATGTTGTACAAAGCCACACCTAGCATCACCTTTTTTCTTATATGCCTTTGTAGTATAGAGTTTAAAGGCAGGATGTTTGATTACATTCATCGCGAATAACTCTTTGAGGCAGGCACTTTAATGATGGCTGACTCTCCAAAAGCATTGATGGACAGTTGAGTGGAGGAAAGAACAGAGATTATCCCTGGGAATTAATGAAAACCACAAGAGAGAGAATGATAGGAAAAACCGCTGTTATAGGAGAGATCAGGTAAACACATGATAACTACCATATTTGAATCCATCACTGCATCATTTTTAGAATTTTCTGATTTGAAATTTCAATAAGGCTCTTCTGCCTCCGCAACATATTTCTGCTTTCTCTTATTTGCCAAAAAAGAGTTTTCCTAAAGTTGCACTCCAGAAATATCCAGGTTAGATTCATCATTTTCTCCTAGCTCCTGAAGGGATGGTACATAAGCGTTATCAGCTCCAGTGTGGTCACTACCAGTAGGTGGAACTAATGCAAGCATTGCAATTCTATGTAATTATTTTATTCATTTTACTTCGCATGCTGTGACAGCAGAATGTGCTAGCACTTAACATCTGGGAGTCTCTCCAGCTAGCCCTGCAGACATTAATGATTCCCAGTGCAAGCATATTTTAGGCTCAAGCTGGGACCCTCGTTAAAAAATGTTTGTTAGTATATTATTGGACACCATATTACACTCAAAAATACAAATTGCTTCCACTACAAATTCATAAACATCGACTGTCATTTGCCCTCAATACCGCCTGTCTAGACTACTACATCCTTTTAATCAACATTTCCACTCTCCCCAAACTTCTATTTCAGACATCCTCCAAACTACTCAATTAATCAACTCCTCTACCACGCATCTTCTCCCTTTTCCAGAGGACCTTACTTTTTACTTTACATAGAAAATAAAAGCCACCAGATAGATATGATCTTTTCTCTGTTACCAAATTTATTTTCATACCTAATCTATAATCTATTTCTATAACCTTTCACATAAGAGGAGCCACTCCTGTCTATGGATAATGTTCATTTATCCTAAGGCCCCATCCTTTTCAGGAACTCCTACTTACGGTAGCAATTATCCTTCTCTCTTTTGCATATTCAATCACTTTTTTCATACAGATCCTTCCATTAGATTTAGTCATGCTTAAGTCTCCACCATTATAAAAACAAAAAGCAATAAACAAACAAACAAAAAAACAGACTGCGCACAGTGGCTCACACCTGTAATGCCAGCACTTTGGGAGACTGAGGCAAGTGGATCGCTTGAGCCCAGGAGTTCAAGACCAGCCTGGCTAATGTGATGAAACCCCGTCCCTACAAAAACTCAGCCTGGATGACAGAGGGAGACCTAGTCCCCCCCCCTCCAAAAAAAAATTAAAAATATCTCATGGAACCTCACACTTTTTCTGGTTATTTCTATCTCTCCTCCTGTCCTAACCAAATCCCTTCAAAGATTCCTCTATACTCATGATCTTTCTGCATTTCCTCACCTCTCATTCATTTCTATTTGACTCCGTAAGCCTTTCAGCAACATTACAACTAAATTCCTGACCTCCATGTTGCTAAAAGCTAATGGACACTTTGCAGTTTTCATCTTACTTTACTGCAACAACTTTTCATATCATTGCCCACACCTGTTTTTTGGGAGACACATTCCTTTCTTGGCTAACACGACGCATTATCCTTTTCTCTCCTTCTCTTCTTTTTTCTCCATTTTTACTTCAAATGAATACTCTTCTACCTGGTCAATAAATATTGGAGTACATCATGACTTGGTTCTAAGCTCACTTATTTCATCATTCCCAGGTGAAGTCACCCACACTCATGGCTTAAATCACCACCTATATACAGATGGTTCCAAGCAGACCATGTAGACCACTTTTCTAAGTATCAGCTCTGTATTTCCAATTGTTTATTTGAAATTTCTTCAATGTTTCAAAGGCACCTCAGGACCAAAATGTCTAAAATTGAGCTAATAAACTTCCTACCCAAAAGGATTTCATTTTTCCCCCACTGTTCACTCTCTCATTAAGAGTACCACTGTCTATCTTGCTATATAAGCCAGAAATACAGGAGTTGTCACTGTTGCTTCTACCACCCTCATTATCATCTCCAATCATCATAATTCTTATGTATTTTACCTACAAATGGGATCCACCCACCTCTCCTCTTATTCACTACTACTTCACTAGTCAAAGCTGCCACCATAGCTCAACTACATTGCTGCTATAAATTCTTAACTGCATTGCTGGCAGCTGTTCTGGTTCCGCTCCAATTCATCTTCTTCCGAAAGCCAGGGGTGATCTTTTAAAAAGTGT
The DNA here is from genome assembly GCF_000001405.40 of Homo sapiens. NCBI lineage: Eukaryota > Metazoa > Chordata > Mammalia > Primates > Hominidae > Homo > Homo sapiens. Next base: position 146,346,968 of record NC_000023.11, on the reverse strand, counting down.
GGAACATATTACTCCCTTCCTTAAAACTTTGCAATGCTATCAGGTTAAGAATAAACAAAACTTTTTAATATGTTCTATATGTTCTGACTCCACTCTCTTTGTCACATCAAACTCACCCTTACTCTCTGTGCTCTGATTACACTGACATTCTTTTAGTCAACTATGTTTTCTTTCATCACAGAACTCTGCATGTACTGGCCCATAGGCCTGAGATACCACCTCCTTCCCTTTATGTAATTATACTTCACACCTCAGATCCATTACCTCTTCTTCGGGAAATCATCTCCCTATTACAAGATATGCTCTTTATAGTATTTGTCTCAGCTACCATTTTACATTGGATTTTTATGATTATTTGTTTAACAAGTCTTTTCATCCTCAGACCTATAGTTTCCAAGATGTAACAAAATATGCTTATCTTGACCACAATTTTATCCCCAGCACTTTGCTTAGTGTTAGACACATAGTAAGTGTTCAATAAATATTTGTTGAAAGAACATTTAAATAAATCAGAATGATGGAGAATGGCAGGGAAAAAGGAAATAACTAGCCAAAAGATATCAGTTAAAATAACACAAGTCAAGATATCGAAAAAAAAAGCCGCATCTTTACTTGACAAGAGGCAGACAAGAAATTCATTGCTTGACAAGACATTCCCATGCTGAGTAGACACTATGTGTGACATGACATTAATTACTAGGAAGTTGCAACAATGGATGCTTTCTAATGTGCTAATTCATAAATGTTTCTCATGACCCTTTTACACCTTTGCAGCTTTTGTCACGTTGTCATGTCAGAATGATATGATTTGCCAGATGAAATACAGAAGGTCCACTTAAATAGTTAAATGTGAATTTTAGATAAACAACAGATTTGTTTCAGAGTAAATATGTTCCATGCAATATCTGGGACATACCTATACTAAAAAAGCATTTCTTGTTTATCTGAAATTCAAATGTACCTGGGTGTTCTTTTTGTTAAATATGGCAATCTTACCTTGTGTCCATATCTTTTTTTTTTTTTTTCTGAGACTGAGTCTTGCCCTGTCACCCAGACTACAGTGCAGTGGTGCGATCTCGGCTCACTGCAACCTCTGCCTCCCGGGTTCAAGCGATTCTCCTGCCTCAGCCTCCCGAGTAGCTGGGATTACAGGCACCCGCCACTGTGGCTGGCTAATTTTTGTAGTTTTAGTAGACACGGGATTTCACCATCTTGGCCAGGCTGGTCTCGAACTCCTGATCTCGTGATCCACCTGCCTTAGCTTCCCAAAGTGCTGGGATTACAGGTGTGAGTCACTGCGCCCGGCCACCTTGTGTCCATATATACAGTTACTCCTGTGCTGTCTTATTGTTCTTTTCCTTCTCACTGTGGGTGAACTTAGCCTTCTGCTTTTTATTTTTATTTTCCCCCACTGATAACAGCTTTCACTAGACTTTACGCTGATAGCTCTTAAATTGTTATTTCTCTTTTCTTACCACTTATCTAAGGTTCTAACCTCATACATTAACTGCCTTGCAGGCCACCTCCACCTAGATATCTCATCATTGTTTCAAATCTAAAATATGAAACATGAGGTCACAGGTTTCGCCTCCAAAATGTGTAGTCCAACCAGCCATTGCTGTCACTTAAAGGGACATCACCATTCTCCAGGTCTACCTGGCTTTTTTGCTGAACTTTCATCCAAGTGACTCCTTCCACTTGACCATTATACGCAGGCATTTTCTTAGACCTGCTGATCTGTCTTTTGCAAGTCTTTAACTTTTGTACATTGCTGCTGTCATCAGTCATCTCCAAGCTTCCCTCATAATGGGCCCCAAATTAGTTCCTCTTTGGATGCTCTTCTTTTAGGGGAAATATTTACTTACAATATTCAATCTTGGCACTGAATCAGGACAGGAGGCAGTGTAATGTAAATTGAGGATAACTATACTTAGCATACAGGATATTCGTAAAAATATGCAATACATATGTATGTAGAGAGAAAATAATCATTATTATTATCATTAACCACTGTATGAGAATAACCACAGTGTGGATCATGTGTCCAATATTAACCACTGTTATGGAAGGCAATGGGAAAATGGAGTTGTATTCTCTCCCATTTGTCTTAGTCTCAACTTTTTCTTTGAAATTTTGATAAGAATCCCTTCTATTTACATCGCTCATGGATGCACACCAATCTACATATATCCATGTGCCAGGGATGATATTTAAACAGGAGAGTTCCCTCAGTGTCAGTGTCTGAAATTTAAGTACAGAGACCTTTTGCCTCAACTACACAAATGTCAATTGTCTATGATTTTAGCTATTTCTGGGCCAGTAAGTTAAATGCTTTTTAACCCAAATGCACAGAAATTCTTAAAACTCTGAAGTGTAGCTCACCTTCAGACCTTCAGTGTGAATTTTTTTTTCCTTTTTTTTTTTCTTTTCTTTTTTGAGGCAGAGTCTCACTCTGTTACCCAGGCTGGAGTGCAGTGGCACAATCTCAGCTCACTGCAGCTTCCACCTCCTGAGTTCAAGCAATGATTCTCCTGCCTCAGCCTCTTGAGTAGCTGGGACTACAGGTGCACACCACAAGCCCCGGCTAATTTTCGTATTTTTAGTGGAGACGGGGTTTCATCGCGTTGGCCAGGCTGGTCTTGAACTCCTGACCTCAGGTGATCCACCCACCTCGGCCTCCCAAAATGCTGGGATTACAGGCGTGAGCCACCGCACTCAGCCTTCAGTGTGAATTTAAGCCATCATTACCTTCAACAAACTGTTCACGAATGTGTCATATATTACTTTTGTGATGTAAGTGGAGGTTTGTAGACATTAGTGATTTTAAATGGGGAAAACATCTTACAGAGAAAGTGCAACTTGAAAACTAATTCCCTGTAACACTCAGAAATTATTTGCTCTATATTTATTTCTCAGCTTCTACTGTTGAACCTTTCCTCCATTAAAGGTAACAGAGATGGGGGTGGAAGAAACAAATGACCTCTCTATGGGAAAATGCTGCCTGCCCTAGTGTGGGTTTATTGTTTAAATATTTCTTGTGCAGTGTAGTTACAACTGGAGTGTCAGTTTTCTTCTTAGTTCTTCCTCCTTTAGTTTTAGCTCACTCCAACTTACCTTATGCCAAGCTAATCTTCCTAAAATTTCCTCATTTCATTTCTCTATATAATAGCTCTGGTGCTCCCCTGCTGCTTAGAAAATCATGGCCAATGCCTCAGCCAGACCCATAGAGCTGTACATCACAGGCCTCATCTTTCTAATCTTCAAGTCCTCTCATCATTTTTTGTTTCCACTCCTCCCGTCCCTCTCAACAGGGGCAAGTTTATCATGTGCTCCAGACCTTTGCTCATGCTACTGCTGCCGGCCACCTCTTCTCAACCTTCACAATTGCCCCCAAGGCTCATAATACAATCATTCTCCTCCATTCATTCTTTAAGGACAATCACAATCTCAAAATAATCATTTTCATGTTTACATGTGATACTCCCCTTTTTAACCATTTTGCATTTTGTCTCCCTAATCAAATTAGCATAGTGCAAGGGACGACGGTGGCCTTCTACTTCTTTGAGTTCCACTTAAGACAGGTGTTTACAAAGTTTGTGATTTTAATTGAATGGGTAAAGAACTGAATGGTATAGTGGAAAGACCACTGGACTTGAATTCAGCGAATCAAGACTGAAGTCTCAGTTCCGCTTTTTACTAGACTATGTTCTTCAACACAAGTGATTTTAGTAAGTGATGCCCATTCCCTTCCCTATAAAATGGGGATAAACCCACCATCCTAACTAAGTCACAGTGTTGTTGGTTGTTGTGAAGATAAAATCAGGTAATATTTTTGGAAACCATAAACCGGGGCCTTAAAGGAAATACAATGTTCGGTGTTCAGTGTCATTGTGTGTCTATAGCATTTATAGGTCAGAGGCCTAGGGCCATTCAATTACCCTTCTAAGAACATAGAAATAAACATTTTTCTACCCTTTCCTAGCTGTGGGTCAGACTTCATATTTTCTCATATTTCGTAATGGTAATACAGAACCAAGCAACCTACTCATGAATTTATTCTATGTTGGCAATGTGCCTTCTGCATAAATCCTTTTTGTTTCTTTCCAAAGGTCAGATGTATTACCGAACATAGGCTCTAAGAAAATGTTTATGGAGTCAATGTTAGTTCGGAATAAGAAGCTATTTAGTGGTTCCCAGGACATGTTTCCTATTGTCTACCCCTTGTCAAATTCTTGTGCCTTATTGAACACCAACTGACACATAAAGCATGTTAAGAAATGTGACACGATTTTAAAGAATGCAATCAGAACAAATGGCCAAAGCATTTCTAAAAACGCAACATATGTAGTTATGTGAAAATCAATGCTTAATAAATAATAATAGAAAATATTTATATAGCACTTACTATATGCCAATCAATGTTCTAAGTGCTTTCCCCAATGAATTAGTAACTACTGCTTTCCATACTTTATAGAAGAGGAAACGGAAGCACTGATCATGCAGTTGGTGGGTAGCTCACCAGAATGCAAACCCAGGTAGCTGAGCTTTTGAGTTTATATTCTTAACCACTTTCCTATTTGCCTCAAAGGACAAATCTAACTAATTCTTTTGAAAATTAATATAGTACTTCATTGTATGAATGGATCATAATTTATGTAATGAATCCCTTATTAATGAACATTTTGGTTGTTTTACCCTTTTGCCATTATAAACTTTTCAGTGAATATCCTACTAAAAACTAATTGCATATTTGTCTAAGTATTATCTTGGGATTAATTTTTATACATTTCAGAATAAAGTATTCCAGAACATTTATAATTTGAATTATTATTTTCACATGTAAGATCTCATTTAATAGACATGACTTTGGTTCTTTCAATTATCTCAATTTTAGGTACAAAGTACTTGGAATCAGAAAGATGAAAGTGCTCAAACTCATATTGCTAACATGTGCCACCTGTCAGATTGTAATCTGAGAAGTCTAAAGTTAAACCTCTTACTCTTTTTACTTATATTCCACTGTCTTCCTATAACTAAAGGGGGCACCTTCTCAGATCGCATGCAATAGACTTGAATGTCAGTTCCTCTTTGAGTCCTGCTCCACCCCAGTGGGGCTCATCCTATCGTACATATCTCCATTCTGTTGTCTATGGAAAATATAAACAAAATCAAAGCCAAGAAATATCATTTCACTTCAGATGTCTAATTTGCCACTAAATTTTTTTCAGATTTTGAAAAACTATGATTTAATAAATAATATTTCTATGTCATAATATAACCATAAAACTAGGCCAAAAGCAATGAGAGTAACAATCTAGTGAGAATCAGGCACAGTTATTTGTGGCTGTGGTTATTTGTGACATCTTACCATACTAGTTTCAAATAAGTGCTGTTGAATTAGGAGAGTAGTTGAAGGAATTTTTTTTTAATGGGTGGGAGAGGTTTGGCTAAAAATTGGTGAATGAAATATACATTTTTACCACTACCCCTACAATCCTCAATAAAATTACACTAAAAGAAAGAAAAGGGGGTTGGCCAGGTGTGGTGGCTCACGCCTGTAATCCCAGCACTTTGGGAGGCCGAGGCAGGCAGATCACCTGAGGTTGGGAGTTCAAGATCAGCCTGACCAACATGGAGAAACCCCATCTCTACTAAAAATACAAAATTAGTCGGGCGTGGTGGTGCATGCCTTTAATCCTACCTACTCGGGAGGCTGAGGCAGGAGAATTGCTTGAACCCGGGAGGTGGAGTTTGCGGAGATCGTGCCACTTCACTCCAGCCTGGGTAACAAGAGCAAAACTCCGTAAAAAAGAAAAAGGAAAAAAAAGAAAGAAAGAAAGAAAGAAAGAAAGAAAGAAAGAAAGAAAGAAAGAAGGAAAGAAGGAAAGAAGGAAAGAAGGAAAGAAAGAAAGGAAAGAAAGAAAGAAAGAAAGAAAAAGAAAAAGAAAGAAAGAAAGAGAAAGAAAGAAAGAAAGAAAGAAAGAAAGAAAGAAAGAAAGAAAGAAAAAGAAAGAAAGAAAGAAAGAAGAAGGAAAGGAAGGAAGGAAGGAAGGAAGGAAGGAAGGAAGGAAGGAAGGAAGGAAGGGGGCAAAAGGAATGAGGAAATAGAAAACAGCATAGAAAACAGGTTAACAACATGTTGGAAGATGGAAATCCAGAGGCCCTTTGTTAAGGAAGCAGGTCTGAAATGTGTTTACCGAAGTAGGCTGTCACCAAAGTAATCACCAGAAAGTCATTATTGTTAGCATTCAGACTCCTGTGTAGTTCCTTCACCTTGACTCTGGGCTGGCCCTGTGATTTTCTTTAATCAATGGAGTGTGACAGAAGTGATCCTGCGTCAGTTCCGAAGATCAGTTGAAAATCAGTTCTTTTTTCCCTTCTAGACTATGAGAACTCTGATACGCATACCCTAGGCACGTGTTTGGACATTCTTCTCAGAAGAAACTGACCAACACGGGACAAAGTACAGGAAATTCATATCAGGAGAATTGTGAAGGGGATTCTTAAGATGGGGTTAGATGGAAATAAAAAGATTTCAATGTACATCAGGCCAGAGAGCCGTAAGAACAGGACAGACAGTTTCAAGAAGAGAAAAAACAAACAAACAAAAAATGATAGAATAGTTGATCTCCTTGAAGAAAGATTTTACAGTTATACAGGGGAGTTTGAGGAAGAATATAGGACTTTATGGTGAAAAGTAATCAAGTGAAAAATCAAGGCAATTATCTAGTCTAGGCAAACAAAGACTAATAGCAGGTAAGATAGATGTGTATGATTCTTTTGTGAATAATTTGTATAAAGACACTGACTAGTCAATAAACCAAAAATTCTAACAGTATTTGGATGGTGAGGAAAGGGTAACTGAGAGTAGGTGAGGGTGGTGTGGTAGTGGCTAAATCTACACTTTCCACAGTATATAAAACAGCTAATATCTAAAATTGAAAAAAAATTACCGGCAGCATATGTACATTATTTTGAAATAGGAAAGTAAAATCCACAAGAACAGGGTTTTGACATGTGAGGGGAGACGTGTTGTTTTTCTTTATGAGCCTTGACGCATTTATATAAATTTTTAACACATATTGCTTTGAATAAGATACACATGATGTTAGAAAAACAAAAATAAAAACAAAGAGAAAGAAAAGTTGAGCTATAAGAAGTAGGAAGTTTTTCTTGCAAAACTGAATGTGTAGACCTAATAATTTTCAAACATCTCCTCTTAAGTCTGTCCAATATAAACAATGAGACCTGAATGCTGATTTTCTCCTACAGCTACACTGGAAACGCCATACAGGTTTCCTCGGTTCAGATATCAAGTAAAACCAACCTGCAGCCAGATAAGCTTATATTTATAATTTATGTTCTCTATTTATTTTTTAATCCCAAAATAAGGTCTACTTTTTTCCTGGAAATTGGATAAAATCAACTGAATATATTAGAGTAAAAAAATATTTTCTCATGAAAAAAATAACCTTATGGCAGTTTTATTTAGTGTTTCAGTTTTGCCATTCTGGATATCTAGAGAAAAAGAATGTCCAGAAGTTGTCTCCAGGCAACAACCCAAATGCAGCAAGCTGAGGAGCAAATGAACTCAGCAAGTGACAAGATCTAGGCATAAGTATAGGGAGACATGATGACATGTGACTAATTGAAGAACTTTCACAGCATACGGGAGACATCCAATGTATGGAGACAAGAAAAAGACAATTGAGATTTTGGAAACAACTAGAAAATATAAAGTTTAAAATAGAACTGAAACCATAATAAGCGGGAAGTTAGCTTTCCATTTTTCTATAATGTGAAAAAATAATACATCTGAATGATGAATCAAGTAAAAGAAGACAGTAGAAAGAAAAATAAGCCAAGTAAGGTAAAGAGATCAAAACACCCAAGCAAAGAAATAAATATGAAAAGTAGATGAAAAATAGCAATAGAACAACAACAACAAAAAAAAAAACCCCACAAAGCAGAAATATTCTTCATTGCTTTATAGAGCTAGAAATAATCCACTAGTAAATTTCTATCATTATTGCCAACTATGCTGACACAGAAAACACCTCCCCTTTCTTCAAACACAGAAAGACTCAATGACACGCACTTGGCTTTTTTAAAAGGATATACCCAAGTCTAAAGGCAAGAAAGGGAAATCTCCAGCAACAAAAATAAAACTGGACCTCATAGCAAAAGGGTGAGCAGGAATGATATGAACTTGGAAGAAGCCTCAGGCCTGCGTGTGGCTAAGGAGCTAGAACTGAGATGGCTGAATAAAGTCTATCAAATAATGTCTATTATTAAAAGTAGAACCAAGTGGGAAATGTACTTCCACAGGAAATGTATTCCCAGACACAAGGCAAGGAATCTTCCCTGTCCTGCTCTGCCCTACTCCCACTCCCAAATCAGTTTGGGTGAAAACATTAATGACTGCTATAATGAAACACAAAAATGCACCAACCACTGTATAGCGAAAGGACAAAGGTAAGAATTAGCACAAGACTTGAACTGGGGAATCCTGAAGCAGTTAATACAGAAGTGCACCAAGAGGAGTAGACCCACTTTATGGGCATGAGAGGCCTCCCCGGGAAAAAAAATAACAATTCTATGTTTATAAAGAAAATTGAACTTTAAGGAAGAAGTAGGATAAAAAAGCAAAGAAATGTGTTAAAACATATTGCTATATGTAAATAAATATTGACAATAAATAATAGCAATGAAAAATTTGAAAAAGTAAATAACAAGATAAGATGTTAGATTTACATGGAACGAAAAATACAATTTGAGAGTCTGGATTTAATCTTTCTGAAGGCTTAAGGAGTAAGAGACATTGATTAGCTTTAGAGTTTAAGCACATATGTTTAAAATGTGAAGGGTGGCCATTAAAGGACCAGAAATAGAACCCTTTCCTGAGTAAAGGGTTCTCAGTACCATTTGCTTGGTCTTAACTCTTCCTTGCCCTGATCTATGCATCTAGAGGCTTATCTCTAAGGACTGTATCAACTGGGCTTTCTCATCCTCCAGGTTCTTAGTTTGGCCACAGCTGTGTTACTCTGGTAAAGGCCACATCTCCTATGGAATGAGCCCCTCCTACAGCTTTTGCAGTTGTTTCACCCTATAAATGGCTGCCTCATCTTGCCTCTCAGACCCGGGGGTAGTAATAGCTTCTTTTTGCCTCTTAGAGCCTGTAGAAAGATGCTCAGGATTATCCATGATCTCTTGTTTTTGTTAACCCTGCCCACATCTTTGCATGCAGTCTTTTTGTTCAACTCTTTTCAATAACCCCTTTGAAGTGTGTCATCTGTGCATTGCTCTGTGTATTGGACCCTTACCAATACAAAGGCATAACTTCCAAATCAATGTGGAGCAGAAAAAAGTAGAGCTGGAAAAAGTAAAGACAACTCCAAATCTTAGGAATCCATGGAAAAGGGAAAAGGAAAAGGAACAAGTATGCTAAATAGAAACATTAAATAACACAGTGGACGTGAAAGAAAATGATATGAGCAATAGGATATACCATTTATGTACATTTTTGAATGAACAAAACAATATTATATATTGATTATAGATGCATACATGCATAAAGAAATTATAAAAGCATGGAATGGAATTATATATGCCAACTTCAAGCTGATGCTTCCTCCAAGGAAGGCTTAAAAAGGGGATCCAAAAAGAAAACAGTTAAACATATCTGAAGTGCTTTATTCTTTTTCTTTTTTTCTTTTCTTTTTTTTTTTTTTTTTGAGACTGAGTCTCACTCTGTCACCCAGGCTGGAGTGCAGTGGCACGATCTCAGCTCACTGCAACCTCTGCCTCCTGGGTTCAAGCAATTCTCCTGCCTCAGCCTCCCAAGTAGCTGGGACTACAAGCACCCACCACCACACCCAACTAATTTTTGTATTTTTAGTAGAGATGGGGTTTCACCATATTGGCCAGGCTGGTCTCGAACTCCTGACCTTGTGATCAGCCTGCCTTATCCTCCCAAAGTGCTGGAATTACAGGCATGAGCCAATGCACACGGCATGAAATATTGTATTCTTTAAGAAAACTATTTGAAGTAAATATGTAACATATTAATACTTTTGCTTATTTTGAGTAGTGTACATGAGGGGTTATAAAACTTACTGCAGGCCGGGCGCGGTGGCTCACGCCTGTAATCCCAGCACTTTGGGAGGCCGAGGCGGGCGGATCACGAGGTCAGGAGATCGAGATCATCCCGGCTAAAACGGTGAAACCCCGTCTCTACTAAAAATACAAAAAATTAGCCGGGCGTAGTGGCGGGCGCCTGTAGTCCCAGCTACTTGGGAGGCTGAGGCAGGAGAATGGCGTGAACCCGGGAGGCGGAGCTTGCAGTGAGCCGAGATCCCGCCACTGCACTCCAGCCTGGGCGACAGAGCGAGACTCCGTCTCAAAAAAAAAAACAAAAAAAACAAAAAAAACAAAAAAAAACTTACTGCAGTGTTCTGTGTGTCTGGACTATTTTATAATAAAACAATCTATTATTCTAAATTAGAACTGTTTGGTTCCTACTCAAATCCTGTTGTATCTTGATTTTTTCCCATTTATGTGACCTACACTATTGTCTTGGAATGAAAGAAGTCTTAACATGTCACAATTGTTGGATCAAAGATCTTTTCTCCATGTATATTAATGAATACTTTTGCTGTACTACCTTTAACATATAAAATGTCATCATCAAATATCTATTAACATGATTTACAAAACATGAAGAAGACACTGTCTCAGCCCTCAAGGATCCAATAATAATGAGACTTTAACACCCCTACATGATATTAATTAAATTAAAAAATAGTTGCATTAAAGAGGCATTGTAGCCATATCACATTCTAGACTGCTTAAACCATCCATGGATATTTCAACATAAAGTCATGTGATCATTTAGCATTTTGAGAAAATAATAGCCAGCTCCCAATGACACTGATATATCCTAATAAAATAAGATGGATTCTAATGGCCATCTTTCTGAGAATTAACTACATTATTCACATTTTTCATTTTGTCATATGACACTGTAGATATATGAAAATGTAATTCAAATTTTCTTGCAATCATTATAGGTCTTTCTGCCTCAGATATAATATTCTTTTGTCCTCTAAGAAGCAGAATAAATGTAATATATATTGGCATAATGTTACATTGAGAATAGTAAATATTTTAATTCAATATTCTAATGTTTTTCAATTTTCCCTGTGTATTTTTATGATCAAAAAAGATAGATCTCTCTGGGACTCATGTCAAGGAAGAATATTCATAAACATGCAGATTATCCAAGTTTAATAGAGAACATTTCCAACTAGGGAAGGACTGATTTCACCAAGTTCTGGATTACATGCAGGCCTTTGAGCTCCTTTTCACTACCAAGATCTGTGTGGGGTACTTTCCCCTCACTTGTAATTCAAGTCTTCTTTCAAATAAGAGTAGAATGAGGAAAGAGGAAAAATCTCAATTCAGGCTATATTTGACATGATAGTGTTCTAAATAGGTTTTCTTACGGAGAAAGATAGTAACATAGATCAAATAGAATGTGGGGACTACACATAAATTCATTTTTGATAGCATCTTCCCCAAAAGCACAGAGAAAAGGTTAATTACAAAATGCTTATTCTAACACCAAATAAATAGTGAAATGTACTTGTATTTTCAATGATAACTACAGTGGAGAGTAGCTGAACACTGTCATCTCCTGTGGTCAAGGAGCTTTGAATGCGTTATCTCACTTAATCCTCAATAATCTTACAGCAATTCTACAGATGGGGAAACTGAGGCCCAGAGAGGTTCAATAATTTTCCTATAATCACATAGCAGTTAAGCTGTGGATGCAGAATTCTAGTGCCAACAATTTTGGTTCTAAATTACCAATTGTAATAACAAATGGAATTAGGAGTACTGGTTTTAAACCAGGATAAAAAATGCAAGTATTTCATTTACTTACTACATACCCAACCAGACAGCACTCCATTCTATGTGATCGACTGCTACATAAAGAAAATCTTACTTTTCTTCCACCTCTTAATGTAGATCAATCCATCATTTTTCAAGAAGAAAAACTGTCCTCAAGGCTGGGCTTTTGCAAAGTGAAAACATACGTCACAAAATGATTTTTCTCATAAAAAACCAAATGTAGAGATTTTCATGGTGTAAAGATATAGTAGTTGTGTTGACATGTTACACTCCTTAATAATTCAATCAACATATCTGTAGAGTTAAACAAATGCAAGATTTTATATGATGGCATGAATCAGAAATGAATATTACAGACCTGAATGAAGGCCAGGAAATTAAGTCCAATAGTTTCAAAGGGTTCTCAGGGACTGTGGAGGGAGGTAGAGTCAGAAATCAATGGCAATAACCTAAACCCTATACCTCTGATTTAACCAGAACAGTTGTGGTTTTATCTGTATTAAGTAACAAGCTTCTTCACTGAGGCGTCATTTGAATATATTGTTTCACAATTGAAACAACTTGAAATTTACTTTTCTGATCCAATTGGCTCATTTTTCAGATAAGGAATATGGGTCCAGTTGAGTTAATTCACTTGCTCAATCCTGCACAACTACTTGGGGCTGAGCTGGAATTTAAAAAATATCCTCCATCATGTCTCATTCTACACCTAAGTTCTCATTACTATAGGTAGCATACAATTAATGGCTACTAATAAATTATAATTTTTTCTATACTGTGAATATAATTTCTATAGTGCACTATAGTTTGAAGTATTTTGTTTTTATGTGTGTGTGTGTGTGTGTGTGTGTATGTGCATTACTTGTTCCTCAATAGTTTTTTCTATGAATTGGACAGTGTTAATAGCATTCATATTTACAGATAAAGATGTTGATGCTCAGTGAGTAAGTGACTGACTCAGGGTTAGAACGCGGTTTTCCTAATTCTTAGTCCAGTGCACTTTCTTCTACCTCCAACAGTATCTCTGAATGTCTCCCCCAACCTAGATTAAGGATAAGCATCAGGACTATTTATTACCAAAAATATGCTGTGCAACATTTATTCTAGAATTGCGTTTATTTCTATTAATGTTACTTATAAAGAACACGGTGACTCATGACTTTGCTGTAAATTCCAGAGCTTGCTGGCACTGTAGTAATCTCACAGGTAACATCCCTACTTGTTTGAAGAGATTGGGAAAACAAGAGTTACAAACACTGGCAAACATCAAAGATCTATTATTGCTGATCAATGTGAAAAACATACTTGGATATTCTTTTCCACAAGTTTCAAAACAAAATTTTAGTGAAAAAATGTCAAGCTAGTTTTCCATAACATTCATAATAAACGCAGACTAATTCCATCAATCACATGTTCTAACAAAAGTGGCATTGCTACTCACATTCACTATGTCAATGGATGACAAAAAAAAAGGTCAATGGATGAATAAGGAAATGCAATGGCCTTGTTTTCTTTAAATGGTAATATACTTTATATATTCCTCTTCAGCTACAAGTAGTAATTAAATTTTTAAAGCTATCACAGACTTTAAAGAGTAATGGCAGTTCCCTTAAGGAAAATGTATTTTTAGATTTATTTTAAACAGCTATTTATCACCCAACAAATATAGGTGTGGGCACACACACACACACACACACACAATTTCATTTGGCTTTATCTACCACTTAAACCCTTTCAGTGATAAATAAATGTTGCAATACATGTGAAAAAATTATAAACTGTAATTCTCCATATAAATGCAGTAAATCATTATTACATCTTAATAGTGTAAAAAATAAAGTAGAGGTTCCTCTTCAAAGACTTTCCTCCTCATCTAATAAGAAATAAATAGTAACTCCTCTTAGAAGCAAAATGCATTCAAAGACCTGTGGTAACATTCTTAAATATCTGCTAGCCGTAATAAAGAAATCAACGTACTTTATGTTCTTAGCTCCCGAATTTAGCCTAGATATTTGCCCTGACATGCTTATACTGGTCCAAGCAAGCATTAGGTCATAGCCTGTTCCTCTTCCTTATTTGAAGGTGTTTTTACCTTTCTCAGCATTCCACAAGTTACTTCCTCCTTCCTTTGCTCTCCTCTGACTTCGACGCTTTTAAAAAGTTCTAACTTGCTAGCCAATCGGGACAAATACAGAATGTGAGGTCCAGTTCCAGCCAGCGGAAACCAGACGCAGCAGTAGGGTGGACGTGTCAGGTTATAAATGACCCTGTCTCCTTTGTTCAGTGTACTTTCATGGCAAAACTGCTGGCAAGTGTACCCTTTCTGCAGAAAGTAAAAATGGCCTTGCTGAGGAAATTAAATTTATGTTCAAGTGCTATTTCTTTACAGCACTGGGGAACAAGCATTTCTAACAATAGTATCAGCTGCTGCAATATAGTTTGGGATAATAATCAGTCATAGCTTTCACTTGAAATAGTCATCCATCACACCATTTCCTCATGTCTGGACTGTTGAATATCTCATTTTACACCTTCATTATAAACTCATACTAATTTTTGCAGTTACATAATTCACTAATTTTCTGCTGAAGTTTCATCATTCTGTAGTTAAACTCATCTTAAGATTTACTTGAATCAAAAATGAGGATTCTTCTCTGATTTCTTATTGTATTCCCTCAATTTTGCCTGAAGTGTTTTAACTTCTATAGTACAAAGAGAACTTGAAGGGCATTTCCTAAAGCTCCTTTTTTGCCTGATGGGAGGAAGTGACTTGCCTAAGCCAGCATAGTAACAAAACTGTTTTTTGTTGTTGTAGTTGTTGTTCTTGGTTTTGTCTGAGATGGAGTTTTGCTCTTTCACCCAGGCTGGAGTGAAGCAGCGCCATCCCGGCTCACTGCAACTTCCGCCTCCCAGGTTCAAGCGATTCCCCTGCCTCAGCCTCCCAAGTAGATGGGGTCATAGGCACCCGCCATCATGCTCGGCTAATTTTTTTGTATTTTTAGTAGGACAAGGTTTCACCATGTTGGCCAGGCTGGTCTGGATCTCCTGACCTAAGGTGATCCACTTGCGTCTACCTTCCAAACTGCTGGGATTACAGGCGTGAGCCATCGTGCCCAGCCACAAAACTGGTTTTTGACCCTTGTCTTCCAATCACGAATCAAGTCTTCTTTTATAACACCAAGCACAAATAACCTAAAAGTGTTACTTTCTCAGGGGAATAACTCTTCAAATAAAAATGGAAAAAGAAGTCTGTGCTTCATTGATCTCTCTGGTTTATTTTCTGAGAGTACAGTCACCTATAATGCAAAGACACTTTTCCTATTAGTGTCAACAACACGACACTATTATGTTGTTACAACATATAGTGGCCATAACATATTCCATTATATCAGCAGATTTTGTATAATAAGAAACACAAACTCATGGCTCTCCTGCTCTCCCATTTAATTATGAATGCACTAAAATAGCAATACCAATATTATGAAGTTTCCCCAAAGGGCTACTTCAGCTATTATTTTTATGACATATATAGGCTTAAAGTATTTCCCAATACATATTCAAAAACAGAATTACGAAAAGTGAACTTGGGAAGACACTTCCACATGAAATCCCATTGAAGTTATAAGACAAAGCATTCATGAAACTGCAAATTCATTTTCACACATTGTGTTTAAAAAGATAAAGTGTACTTAATGGTTTTATTCTGCATAACATATAACCATAAAGTATCCAGAGAATGTTCTTAGTGAATTTGGTTTATTTCCTTCTTAAAGAAAATTACGAAGAATAGTCAATGGAAACTCACTCCGTGTCAACCCCCACCCCACCCTTGAGCAGGAGACCCATTTTTTCCATACTAGGTAATAAAATGCACCTGGAACTATACAATTTTCTAAAGGTCATAAGAGGGAGAGGGAATCGGAACCACCATTTGCAATCTTATTCAGGATCTTCAGCATTCTCACTGCAAGCCTGTCAGAAATGTGAAGGCGGAAACATTGAAGTGTTAGTCTACACAACTGAAAATTACACATTTCTAACAAGAGTTCAGGTGATGCTGATGTTTCTGGTCCATGGACCACACTTTGCATAGCAAAAATTAATACATTAAGCGCCGGGCGCGGTGGCTCACGCCTGTAATCCCAGCACTTTGGGAGGCCAAGGAGGGTGGATCACCTGAGGTCGGGAGTTCGCGAGCAGCCTGACCAACTTGGAGAAACCCTGTCTCTACTAAAAATACAAAATTAGCCGGGCGCGGTGGCACATGCCTGTAATCCCAGCTACTCGGGAGGCTGAGGCAGGAGAATTGCTTGAACCTGGGAGTCGGAGTTTGTGGTGAGCCGAGATCGCACCATTGCACTCCAGTCTGGGCAACAAGAGCGAAACTCTGTCTCAAAAAAAAAAAAAATTAATACAATAATATTTTACCAAGGTCATTAGCTAATAAGAAGAAAAGAAAAGAAAGGTAGAAAGACCTAGTCTTCTCAAAACCTCCTAACCACGGTGTCTCAGCATTCTCTTCCAAACTGCTTCTATTTTAAGAATGCAATGCCGGCCGGGCGCAGTGGCTCACGCCTGTAATCCCAGCACTTTGGGAGGCCGAGGCAGGCAGATCACAAGGTCAGGAGATCGAGACCATCCTGGCTAACACAGTGAAACCCGGTCTCTACTAAAAATACAAAAAAAAAAAAAAATTAGCCAGGCGTGGTGGCGGGCGCCTGTAGTCCCAGCTACTTGGCAGGCTGAGGCAGGAGAATGATGGGAACCCAGGAGGTGGAGCTGCCAGTGAGCCGAGATCTCACCACTGCACTCCAGCCTGGGCAACAGAGCAATATTCTGTCAAAAAAAAAAAAAAATGCAATGCCATACTGTGCAACTCTGAATTTTACATGGAATAGGGACTGACTCATGAAGTCGTGCATGGATAAAATACAAACAATGGTATACATTCATATTATGTTACATGTGATGTATAAAGCTAAACACAGTGTCATAACACTGGTTCTTCAGTGTTTAAACCTATTTTATGGTGTATGGTTTTATGCAAACAAAAGTGATGTGTGAAACCATAATGTTATAGGAAATAGAAAGAAATTATTTAGGTAGACAGTTAAGGTAAAGCGAGTCCCCAGCAGAAAACTTTCCTTGTAACAAAAAGCAGCTCAAAAATAGCTCCCTTTTTAACCTCATGCAGTTCAAAGAAATCACTTCTAACAACAAGCTGCCTGAAAGAGCAGGCAGAGATAAGACAGCTCCACACAGAAGTGGGGGTGGGAAGAGTCTCCTGGGTAATCGCCCAACTTCATACTTATACAATGGGCCCAGTAAAACAGTGGGTCTTAATAAGTACATTCCCTTCCCTTTAGGCCACTAAGATAGGGAAACTAAAAGCAGACTGGGGGGCAGGGGGATGTCTGCAGCTACAAGAAGATGTATGGGAATAGACATGGAAACTCTCCCTCCCAGATAAGCTAGACAAAGAAACACAGACTAAAAGTCAGCCTACATGGTCCAGTAATGGGGTGAGAGATGATTAAAAACTCTGCTCTATACAGATAGCACACCTGGTCCCAGCTGAATCATCGTGCCCTAGGAGGATAAGACCTCCCCTCCTCGCTAATCCCCTCCTCACTAGCCCATTTATAAAAACCCTGACATTGTTACTACTACTTGGCAACCTGCTCAGGACCCCTCTCTGTGAGGGAGAGCTGTACTTTCATTTTGCCTATATAAACTCCCACTCCAAACTCACTTTGTCTGTGTGTGTGTCCATGACCTCAATCTCCTTGGCCGTGAGACCAAGAACCTTCGTATTTACCCCAGACAATGAAGCTGCTTCAATAATAGGCAAAACAGGCCAAATTTATATCACATTCTGTGTCTGAATGGACAACCCATCAATTATAATATAATACAAAATTATCTACTTATATACCATCATACCCTCCTAATACAAACAATGTGATACCAGAAAGCCCTCTGCATTAGAGAATTAAAAAAGGGTATGCCATTTTTAAAAGCCACACCTCAATAGAAAAGTCTGGTGAGAGTAAAACAATGTGATTTATTTATTTATTATTTTTTTTCTTTTTGAGACAGTTTCACAGCGGCGCATTCTCAGGTCCCGAGTTAAAGCAATTCTCATGCCTCAGCCTCCTGAGTAACGTAGGTTACAGGCGTACGCCACCAAGCCTGGCTAATTTTTGGTATTTTGGTAGTCACAGGGTTTCATCATGTTGCCCAGGATGGTCTCGAACCCCTGAGCTCAGGCAATCCTCCCACCTCAGCCTCCCAAAGTACTAGGATTACAGGCATGAGCCACTTCATCCAGCTGCCAATGTGATTTCTTCAACCAGCCATTTTAAAATAAAGTACCAAGCAACAGAATGACAACATAAAACTGAAACACAAACGATGACAATGATCTTGCACCCGGATATGTAAATAATACCTGCAAATTAATAATTAAAAAACAGCTCAACAGAAAAATGAACAGAAGTCTTGAGAAAACCAAAGAGAATATACAAATGACCAAAAACATCAAAAGGTTCCCAACCTTATCAGCAATAAGGTGAATAAAAATTAAAACCAAAAGGAAATGTATTACAAACCCATAAGAATGGCTCAAAATTTTAAAATCTGACAATTTCAAGTGCTATGAAATGTGTAAAGCAAAGGAAAACTTCATAAACAGCTATTGGGAATGCTAGTTGATACAACCACGTTGGAAAATGGGCATTATCCACTACAGTTGAAAATATGACCCAGCAATTCTACCCTGGAGTATAACCCCAACAAAAAAAATGCATCAATATTTGCACAAAGACACGTTCAAGTATTTTCATAGCAACATTGTTCATAATACCCCAAAACTGAAAAATAAATTTTATGTCCATCATCACCACAATGGACATCTATATTATGGTTTAGCCATACAATGTAATACTGCACAACAATGAAAATTAATGACCTACTGCTTCATAAAACAATGTGGAAGAGCCCCAAAACAACATCGCATGAAAGAAAGGCAGGACCAAAATAAGATAAATTGCTTGACTCCATATATATGAAGTTCAAAGGTAAGAAACACAAGTCATGCAAATATTTCTGTGGGGGGATGAAAGAGGAGACGTAATCAGGAGGGGATATAAGAGGCTTCCGAGGTGCCAGCAATATTCTATATCTCGACCTGAGCACGTTTACATATATGTGATCACGCTGTAATAATTCATGGAGTTGTACATTCATGATTTGTGAATTTTTCTGTATGTAGTTTATATATCAATGAATAATTTAAAACAAAGAAAGTCAACAAATACTTATTGTGCACTTATTTGTGTGCTAGGAATTGAACAGCAAAGTGGAAATTATTTCTGCTTTTATGGGCTTTAAAGTGTAGAGAAGGCATGCATGAAATAAGGAAGCAGCTAAATAAACATACCATTATAAACCAATTAAGTGCTATAATATATAAGGACAGGGTGCAATGAGAGAAATGACAATAAATGAAAAAAATTACCTTTCGTAAATCCAGGGGAGCATCCCAGTGCTGTTGAAATATCACAAACGAGGCAGTGGTTGACCTACAAATAAACAGTATGAGGGAAGCTACTTTACTTTATGAAGATCTGCTATGTTCCACCTCCTTCAGAAATCAGATCACTTGTTAGGGAAAATATAATGAGGAAGCTGTAAGGTGTACAAGCAGCCCCTTCTTATTACCACTGGGCAAGGTTTCTTAAAATGAGATCTATACCTAGGCTTCTCAAACTTTAAAGTGCATATGAATCACTGTGGGACCTTATCAAAATAGAGATTTTGATACCATAGATATTGGGTGGGGCCTAAGGTACTGCATTTCTAACAATCACACAATGATGTCCACAGTGCTGGTCTGTAGACCATACTGTGAGAAAGGATGGTCCGTATGGTACCAAGCCAACTGATTAATTTAGCCAAACAACTACTTACTTCAATGGGAAACAGCAAAACCCCTAAGGAATCACTTCCCTGAATTGATAGCTTATTTGAAGTTTAATTTCAGTTTTAACATTGAAATCTTTAATGCTTATGTTTATTTGTTCACTTATTTTTATATCTGCCTTATTAAAAAATATTTGAGGAAAATTCCAGTCAGTTAAAATGACTCAGTAGAACATCACAAAACCATTTAAATTGTTTCTTTAAAAAATGTGCTATATTCTGCTCAACATCACTAATTACCAGAGAAATGCAAATCAAAACCATAAGGAAATATCATCTCACACAAGTCTGAATGGCTATTATTAAAAGTCAAAAAATAATAGATATTGGCAAGGTTGCAGAGAAAAAGGAACACTTGTACATTATTGGTGGGAGTGTAAATTAGTTCAACCATTGTGGATAACAGTATGACAATTCCACAAAGAGCTATAAACAGAACTACCACTCAACCCAGCAATCCCATCACTGAGTAAATACCCAAAGGAATATAAAATCTTCCATCACCAAGACAAACGCATGCATATGTTCATTGCAGCACTATTCACAATAGCAAAGACATGGAATGAAACCAGGTGCCCATCAAGGGTGGATTGGATAAATAAAATATGGTACATACACACCATGGAATACTACACGGCCATAAAAAAGAACATGGGTGCCGCTGAAGAACATTATCCTAAGTAAATCAATGCAGAAACAGAAAACCAAATACCACATTCTCTCACTTATAAGTAGGAGTTAAACACTGGGTATTCGTGGACATAAAGATAGAAACAATAAACACCAGAGACTACTCGAGGGAGAAGGGAGGGAAGGAGCCAAGGGTTGAAAAACTAACTTGTTTACTATAGCCACACCTGGGTTATGGGATCATTTGTATCCCAAACCTCAGCATCATGAAATATATCCATATAATAAACCTGCACATGTACCCCCGAATCTAATAGTTGAAATTATCCAAAAAAAATAAAAGAAATATTGATACAGACTATTAAAATTATCATGTAGATATGAAGCTATTATCAATTTAAAACAATTATATTTATCTGTCATTGAAGGTAGCCCTGAGACCAGGAGATTTAGGGGACAGAAAACGGAATGTGGAGTCAGAAAACTTGAGTTAGAGTTCCTCTCTGACAAGCATTAGTTCAGATCATGATGACACAATAAAACCCTTGATTCTCAATTTTTTTAAAAAAAATTAATATTTGTCAGATGCCTGCCTATTGCACTTTACAAATAAACTGATTTCTGCTTTTTAAATTGAGGTTTATTTGATATATAATGAATTACACGTATACAGAGTGTAAAATTTAATGAGATTTGACATCTGTACATCTTTGAAACCATCGCCTATGATTGATCCACATAATGAACATAACCATCACTCCCCCAAAATTTCCATAAGCCCTTTTGTAATCTCTCTCTCCCACCCCTGCCCACCTCTACTTTCAGCCCCTAGGCAATTACTTATTTGCTTTCTGTCATGAGAGAGTATTTGTATTTTTAAAGTTTTATATAAATGTCATCATAAAGCAGATACTTTCTTATCTGGCTTCTCTCACTCAACATAATTACGCTTTGATTTACCCATGTTGTTACATCCAACAGTTCGTTTCTTTATATTGCTGAATAGAATTCTACTGTATGAATGCACCAAAATATATTTATTTGTTCATCCCTATTTTAGTTCCAACTGCTATAACAGAATAGATAGACGAAGTGATTTATAAACAACAGAAATTTATTTTTTCACAGTTCTGGAAGCTGAAGTCTGAGAGCAGGGTGCCAGCATTATTATGTTCTGAAGAGGGCTGCTCTCTTCCAGGTTGCAAATTTTCATTGTATTCTCACATAGCAGAAAAGAGAATCCAGAGAAACTCTCTGGATTCTCTTTTCTAAAGGAATTAATCTCATTTACGGGGTCTCCACCTTTATGATCTAATTACCTCTTAAAAGCTCTCCACCTTCGTTTTTTTTTTTCGTATTTTTTTGTTTGTTTTGTTTTGCTTTGTTTTGTTTTGTTTGAGACGGAGTCTTGCTCTGTGGCCCAGGCTGGAGTGCAGTGGCGCAATCTCGGCTCACTGCAAGCTCCGCCTCCCGGGTTCACGCCATTTTCCTGCCTCAGCCTCCCGAGTAGCTGGGACTACAGGCGCCCGCCACCACGCCCGGCTAATTTTTTTGTATTTTTAGTTAGATGGGGTTTCACTGTGTTAGCCAGGATGGTCTTGATCTCCTGACCTCGTGATCCGCCCGCCTCAGCCTCGCAAAGTGCTGGGATTACAGGCGTGAGCCACCGCGCCCGGCCAAGCTCCCCCTTCTTATATCATCACATTAGGGGTTAGGATGCTCACATATGAATTTTGGGGGAACGCAAACATTTAGTTGTTAGCGATCTCTTCATAGCCATTTGGTTTGATTCTAATTTGGGGGTATTACAAGTGAAACACCTATGAACTTTTGTGTAAAAGTCTTTATATGGACATATGCTTTATCTTACATAAATGCCTCACAAAGAAATGGCTAGGTCACATTGTAAATAGTTGCGGAACTTTTTAAGAGACAAACTGTTTTCAAAGTGGTCGTCCCAGTTTAAATTCCTACTAAGCAGTTGATAAGCCTTTCCATTTCTCTACATCCTTGCTAATACTTAGTATGCTCAGTCATTTTAACCTTAGACATTCTAGTAGGTATATAGTAATATCTTATTGTGGTTGTAATTTGCATTACCCTAATAACGAATAGTGTTGAGCATCTTCTCATGGAATTATTTCCCATTCATATATCTTCTTTACTGGTGTCTGTTAAAATTTAGCTCATTTTTAAAGAACTGGTTAGTTTAGATTTTATTATTGAGTACTGAAGATTATTTACATATTCTAGATGATAAAGGATTCTAGAAGGCTTTATCAGATGGGCCCTTTGTAAAGAATTTCTGCCAGTTTATGACTTGTCTTTTTTAACTTTTTTTTTACAGTATCTTTAGAAGGGAAGAAGCTTTTAATATTGATGAAGTCCAATGTATAAATTTTGAATTTTATGGAATATGCTTTTGGTGTTATATCTGAGAAAACATAGCCTAACCCTAGGTCACAAAGATTTTAGGCTACATATTTTTCAAGAAGTCTTAGAGTGTTAAGTTTTATAACTAGATCTATCTTCAAATTTCAGTTTATTTTTAAATATAAATCACAGTTGTGAATCAAAGCTCAATATTTTTGAATATGGAGATCCAAATGTTGTTCGAGAACCATTTTTTTTTAAAGATTGTACATAACTCACTACATTGCCTTTTCACCTTTGTCAGATTCCAAAGACTTTCTATGTGTGGGTTTATCTGGAAACTCTCTTCTGTTCCATGAGCTATTTGTCTAATTTTATGACAATACTAATACACTGTCTTGATTATTATATCTCTTTAATACTCCTTAAAATCAGGTATTTTTATTTCTCCAACTTTGGTCTTTTTTTTCAAAGTTTTATTTTTCTGGTACTTTCACATTTCCATATGAATTTTAAAATTAGTTCATACATTTTGTACAGAAAAAGACTGCTAAGATTTTGATTTTGACGACACTTAATCTATAGATTAATTTTAGAAGTATTGATATCTTAACCGTATTGGATCTCTGACTCACAAGAAATACATATTTCTCTATTTATAAAGGTCTTCTTTAATTTCTCTGAGTAATAGTCTGTAGTTTACAATGTACAGGTCTTGAAGATGGTTTGTCAAAGTTGCCCATAATTATTTCACATTTTTGGTACTAATCTAAATATTATTGTTTTCAATGTCAAATTATGATTGTTATTCCTAATATAGAGAAAAGTAATTAAATTTTGAATATTGATCTTGTATCATATAACTTTGATACATTCACGTATTAGCTCTAAAACTTTTGTAGAATTCATTGCATTTTCTACAGAAATGATTATGTTATTTACTAAGAAATATGGTTTTACTTCTTTTCCAATCTGTATGTCTTTTTCTTGCCTTATTGAACTGGCTAGATACTTCAGTACAATGTTGAATAGAATTGATGAGAGCAGACATCCTTGCCTTCTTCCTGACCACAGGATGAAGGCATTCAGTCTTTCACCATTAAGTATGATATGAGCTTTAGGGTTTTCATAGATGACATTCATCAGATTAAGGAAGTTTCTTTCTATTCCTAGTTTGTTGAGAGTTTTCATCTAGACATGGTTGTTGGATTTTTTCAGATACTTTTATGCATATATTGAGACAATCACGTGGGTTTTTTGTTTAATATGATGAATTACACTGATTTATTTTTTACTGTTAAATCAAATTTGCATTTCTAATATAAAACATACCTGGTTATTATGCATTGTTCTTATATTTTGTTGGATTTGATTTGCTTTGCTAAAATCTTATTTACAATTTTTGCATTTATATTCATGAGTTTAATTTTTTGTAACATAATTCTATGGTTTTATTATCATGGTAATGCTGGCTTCATTTGATTAGTTGAAAAGTATTCTCCCTTGACTTTTTGAAATAGTATGAGAGAAAATGATGTTATTTTTCTTTACATGGTAAAGATACATTAATGTTGCAGATATATGTAAAGTTGCTATTTGGCCGACCTTAATATTGGGAGATTTTTTTCTAGATTATCCAGATGACTCTAATGTAATCAACAGATTCCATAGAAGTGGAAGGAGAAATAGGAAAAATCAGTGTGAGCGTGATGTGATGTGAGACTCAACTGACCATTGCTGGCTTTGAAGATGGAAGGGAGCCATAAGCCAAGGAAGACAGGCAGCCTCTAGAAGCTGAAAAAGGCAAGAAAATTGATTATCTTGAGCCTCCAGAAATAAATCTAGCCCTGCCAACACATTGATTTTAGTCCATGTCAGACTTCTGACTTACAGATTAGTAAAATAATAAATGTGTATTGTTTAAATCACCAAGTTTGTGGTAATTTGTTATCGAAACAATAGAAAACTAATATAGCAGAATTCACCAATAAAGAATTATTAGCTCGTCATTTTCTTTGCACGAAGCTTTTAAATTTAAAATTTAATTATTTTAATACATAAATCTCCATTCAAGTTGTCTATAATTTCTTCTGTGAGCTTTTGCAGTGCGTCTTTAAAGCAATTTGTCAATTTCATCTAAGTTGTTGAATTTATTGGCATGAAATTGTTCATAATATTCCCTTGTTATACTTTTTTAAAAAAAAATAATTAAATTTTATTTCAATCTCTGGGATACATGTACAGGACGTGCAGGTTTGTTACATAGGTAAACCTGTGCCATGGTGATTTGCTGCACCTATCACCCCATCACCTATGTTTTAAGTTCCACGTGCATTAGCTATTTATCCTGATGCCTCTCTCCCGTCAACACCCTGACAGGCCACAGGGTGAGTTGTTCTCCTCCCTATCTCCATATGTTCTCATTGTTAGCTCTCACTTATAAGTGAGAACATGCAGTGTTTGATTTTCTGTTCCTGTGTTAGTTTGCAGAGGACAATGGCTTCCAGCTCCATCCATGTCCCTGCAAAGGATATGATCACATTCCTTTTTATGACTGTGTAGTATTCCATGGTGTATATGTACCACATTTTATTAATCCAGTCGATCATTGATGGGCATTTGGATTGATTTCATGTCTTTGCTATTGTGAATAGTGCTGCAATGAACATATGAGTGCATGTATCTTCATAATAGAATGATTTATATTCCTTTGAACATATACCCAGCAATGGGATTGCTGGGTCAAATAATGTCTCTGGTTCTAGGTCTTTGAGGAATTGCCACACTGTCTTCCACTATGGTTGAACTAATTTACATTCCCGCCAATAATGTAAAATCATCCCTATTTCTCCACAGCCTCACCAGCATCTGTTGTGACTTTACTTTTTAATAATTGCCATTCTGATTGGCATAAGATGGTATCTCATTGTGGTTTTGATTTGCATTTCTTTAATGATCAGCGATGTTGAGCTTTTTTTCATGTTTGTTGGTTGCATTAAAGTCTTCTTTTGAGAAGTGTCTGTTCATGTCCTTTGCCTACTTTTTAATGAGGTTGTTTGCTTTTTTCTTGTAAATTTGTTTAAGTTCCCTGTAGATTCTGGATATTAGACCTTTGTTAGATGGATAGACTGAGAAGTTTTCTCCCATTCTGTAGGATGTCTGTTCACTCTGATGATAGTTTCTTTTGCTGTGTGAAGCTCTTTAGTTTAAGTAGATCCCATTTGTCAATTTTTGCTTTGTTTCAATTGCTTTTGACGTTTTTGTCATGAAAGCATTGCCCTTGTCTATGTCCTGAATAGTATTGTGTATATTTTCTTCTAGGGTTTTTATAGTTTAGGATTTTACATTTAACTCTTTAATCCATATTAATTTTTGTATAAGGTGTAAGGAAGGGGTCCAGTTGCAATTTTCTGCTTAAGGCTAGTCAGTTTTTCCAGCACCATTTATTAAATAGAGATTCCTTTCCCGATTGCTTGTTTTTGTCAGGTTTGTCAAAGATCAGATGGTTTTAGATGTGTGGTCTTATTTTTGAGATCTCTATTCTGTTCCATTAGTCTATGTCTGTTTTTGTACCAGCACCATGCTGTTTTAGTTACTGTAGTCTTGTAGTATAGTTTGAAGTTGGGTAGCGTGATGCTGCCAGCTTTGTTCTTTTTGCTTAGGATTTTCTTGGCTATAAGGGCTCTTTTGGGGTTCCATATAAATTTTAAAGTAGCATTCTCTACTTCTGTGAAGAATGTCAATGGTAGTTTAATGGGAATAGCAGAGAATCTATAAATTACTTTGGTCAGTATGGACATTTTCATAATATTGATTCCTTCCTATCCATGAGCATGGAATGTGTTTCCATTTGTTTGTGTCCTCTCTTACTTCCTTCAGTAGTGGTTTGTAGTTCTGCTTGAAGAAGTCCTTCATTTCCCTTGTTAGCTGCATTGCCAGGTATTTTATTCTCTTTGTAGCAATTGGGAAGGGGAGTTTATTCATGATTTGGCCTTCTGCTTGTCTATCGTTGGTGTATAGGAATGCATGTGATTTTTGCCCATTAATTTTGTATCCTGAGACTTTCCTGAAATTGCTTATTAGCTTAAGCATCTTTTGGGCTAAGATGATGAGGTTCTCTAGATAGAAGATCACGTCATCTGCAAACAGAGACAGTTTGACTTTCTTTCCTCCTATTTGAATATCATTTATTTATTTCTCTTGCCTGGTTGCCCTGGCCAAAACTTTCAATACCACTTTGAATAGGAGTGGTGAGAGAGGGCATCCTTGTCTTGTGCTGGTTTTCAAGGGAAATGCTTCAAGCTTTGGTCCATTCAGTAAGATATTGACTGCAGAATTGTCATAAATAACTCATCATTTTGAGGTTTGTTCCATCAATACTTAGTTTATTGAGAGTTTTTAACAAGAAGGGGTGTTGAATTTTATGGAATGCCTTTTCTGCATCTATTAAGATAATCATGTGGGTTTTTTCAGGAGCTCTTGCAAGGCAGGCCTTGTGGTGAGAAATTCCCTCAGCATTTGCTTGTCTGAAAAGGATTTTATTTCTCCTTCACTTATGAAGCTTAGTGTGGCTGGATAAGAAAAGCTGGGTTGGAAATTTTTTTCTTTAAGAATGTTGAATATTGGCTACCAATTTCTTCTGGCCTGTAGAGTTTCTGCTGAGAGGTCTACTGTTAGTCTGATGGGTTTCCCTTTGTAGGTGATCTGGTCATTCTCTCTGGCTGCCCTTAACATTTTTTTCCCTTAATTTCAACCTTGGAGAATCTGGTGGTTATGTATCTTAGGGTTGATCTTCTCACGGAGTATCTTACTGGACTTCTCTGAATTTCCTGGATTTGAATGTTGGTCTGTCTTGTTTGGTTGAGGAAGTTCTCCTGGATAATATCCTGAAGTTAAGTTTTCTGACTTGGCTCCATTTTCCCTCTTTTAGGTACCCCAATCAGTCATAGGTTTGGTCTTTTTACATAATCCCATAGTTCTCAAAGTTTTTGTTTGTTCGTTTTCATTCTTTTTTGTCTACTCTGTCTGCCTGTCTTATTTCAGCAAAATAGTCTTCAAGCTCTGAAAGTCTTTCCTCTGCTTGGTCTATTCAGTTATTGCTGCTTGTGGTTGCACTGTGAAGTCCTCATGCTGTGTTTTTCAGCTCCATCAGGTCATTTATGTTTCTCTCTAAAATGATTATTCTGGTTAACAGCTCCTGTAATGTTTTATCGTGGTTCTTAGCTTCTTTGCATTGCATTAGAGCATGCTCCTTTACCTCAGCAAAGTTTATAATTACCCACCTTCTGAATCCTACTTCTGTCAATTTATACATCTAAGCCTCTGCTCACTTCTGTGTCCTCACTGGAGAGGTGTTGCAATCATTTAAGGAAGAAGAGGCATGCTGGATTTTTGAGTTTTCAGCGTTTTTGTTGTTGTTTTTGTTGTTGTTGTTGATTCTTTCCCATCTTTGTGAGTTTGTCTAGCTTTAATCTTTGAAGCTATTGACATTTGGAAGGGGTTTTTGTGGGGACTTTTGTGTTGGTGCTGTTGTTGCTCTCTGTTATTTTATTTTATTTTATTTATTTTTTTAACAGTCAGGCCCCCTTTCCATAGGGTTGCTACAGTTTGCTGGCAGCCCACTCCAGACCCTATGCACCTGGTCCCTCCCACACCTGAAAGTGTCACCAGTGGAGGCTGCAGAACAGGAAAGATGGGTGCCCACTCCTTCTTATGTGATCTCTGTTTCAGAGGGGCACCAACCTCATGCTGGAAGGAGTACTCTTGTATAAAGTGTCTGACAACTCCATTGAGGGAAGTCTCACCCAGTCAGGAGGCACATGATCTGGGATCCACTTAAGAAAGCACTCTGGCTGCCTCTTGGCAGAGGGGTTGTGCCACACTGGGGAGAATCCCACTGATCTGGGCTGCCTGGATTCCTCAGAGCCAGCAGGGAGAAAGACTTAGTCTGCTGACCCACAGAGACCATGGCCACCCCTTTTCCCAGGGGCTTTGTCCCAGGGAGATCAGAGTCCTGCCCCTAAACCCCTAGCTAGAGTTGCTGAAATTTCAACAGGGAAGCCTCGCTCAGTAAGGAGGGATAGATCAGGCTCTGGCCTAAAAAGGCAGTCTGGCCATGATCTGCCACAGCTGCTGTTCTGCACTGTAGGGAATTCCTCCCGGGTTCAAAGTGTCCAGTCTCCCTGGGACCAGCAGGGAGAAAATGGCAGACTGGAGTTTCGGTGATGTCTGCCACCCCTTTCCCCAGGTGCTCAGTCATCTTAGGCAGCAGACAGCTTCCCTCCCTCAGGGAGCTCAGCCATCTTAGGCCGAAAGCAGCCACAGTAATGATGACTACCCTTCCTTCTTGGACCTGGGTAGTCTTAGGTGTCTCCAGCCAGTTGGCCACTGAGAATCTGCACAGCTCTGTGCTTGGGAACGATGAGAACACATGGACACATGGGAGGGGGAACAACACACACTGGGGCCTGTTGGAGGGTGGTGGGTGGGAGGAGGGAGAACATCAGAAAGAATAGCTAATGAATTCTGGGCTTAATACCTAGGTGATGAGATGATCTATGCAGCCAACCACCATGGCACACTTTTATCTATGTAACAAACTTGCACATCCTGCACTTGTAGCCCTGAACTCAAAAACTGGAAATAAAAAAAAGAAGATATAATGCATCCTATGCCTAGCAAGTAGAATTATCTCTTTATCTTGGTCCTGGAAATTTTGAATAAATAAGGTTAATGCAATAAACATAGTTGCATGAATGTATGTTAGCTATATATCATGAAGTACTATTAATTTACTTATGTTGAATGGCAGTTTAATAGCTACTCAAATTGAGTTGACATGAAAATTCCTTCTTAAAAATTCAAATGTAATATGTACTACATTTCATGGTACATTATTAGTTTTGTATATATTGAATACATACATACTATGTCAGCAAAAAAAAAAAGGGATTATTTCCTTCAGTCACAGTGGCAGTTTTAAATAATACAAACAAGTATTTACCCCTTATAAAATTTCCTAGTCCAAAGTCATGCTACAAGGCCAATTTCACCCTGGTACCAAAACCAGAAAAAAAAAATCACAAGAAGAGAAAACCACAGACTAATATTACTTATGAATATAGATGCAAAAATCCTCAAAAAACAAACAAACTAGCAAACCAAATCTGGCAACATACAGAAACTATTATACCACATCAAAAAGTGCTATTTATCCCAGGGTTCCAAGGTTGATTCAACATACACAAATAAATCAGTGTAATACACCATATGAATAGACTGAAGGGTAAAAACCCCATGATCATCCCAATAGATGCGTGCAAAAATCAGCACCCTTTTATGATAAGAATATGTAATAAAATTAGGATAGACAAAAACTTTCTACACCTGATAAATGAGATTTACAATAAACTGACAGTATCACAATTTTTTAAAAAAATGTTTATTCTAAGTTCAGGGGTACATGTACAGGGTTGTTACATGGTAAACATGTGTCATGAGGGTTTGTTTTGTAGATTATTTCATCACCCAGGTATTAAGCCTAGTATCCATTAGTCATTTTTCCTGATACTCTACCTCCTCCTAACCTCCCTCAAGTAGGTCCCAGTGTGTGTTGTTCCCCTCGATGTGTTCATGTTTTCTCATCATTTAGCTCCCACTTATAAGTGAGAACCTCTTATCTGGTTCTCTGGTATTTGATTTTTGGTTTTATGTTCCTGTGTTAGTTTGAGGAGGATAGTGGCTTGAGGAGATTGTGATGGTGGTGCAAATTAGTCATTCTAGACGTACCAATCACAGCTGGAAGGGTCCAGAAGATATGCCCTTGACCAATGTTTTGCAAAATAGATTTACGAGGGCAGCACCTGCATCTTTGAAGAGCCCCGTAATTGCTTTTCTCTGTATGTCCGATCTAACAGTGAGAACCGCAGCAACTGAACTACAATATTTAAATACAATGGGAATAATTGGATCCTGAGGTGGCAGGGACCATGTGGTGGCACTCAACCATCAAAGGCAAGGTGGGTGAAGCTACTATAGTGGACAGTAGAGGCAAAGCAGCAATCAGAAGAGTCTGCCTCATGTGGAGCTCTGGTATTGGCTAATTAATCATGGTGTTCCTAGAAGTGAAATTGATAGGAAGCCTACTGCATTCCTACTTAGTTTATATAAGCAGGAAACTTACAGGTCAAATGAAAAAAAGACTAATTTAAATTATAAAAACAGAGAATCACAGCCCCTCAATCAATTTCCAGACTTGAGGTAGTTTACAGACCCAGTAGCTCTTGAATGAAGTTGAGGCTGGGTTCCCTTGAAGAAGGATCCCACTACAGTACCAACAATTTATGTTGTTAATCTTTCTCCCACCCATCCCAAGGAGACCTCCAGCCTTTTACCAGGGTAACTGTTCTTTTGGCTCAGGTCCGACTTACTGTGGGTCCAGTGGGACCCCATCCTGTGGTCATTTCCTCAGTGCCAGAATATATAATTAGCATAGACATACTTAGTAGCTGGCAGAACTCCCACATTGACTCCCTGACTGGTAGGGTAAGGGCTATTATGGTGGAAAAGTCAAATGCAAGCCATTAAGGCTGCCTTTACCTAGAAAAATAGTAAATCATAATCAATACCACATCCCTGGAGGGGTTGTGGATATTACTGCCACCATCAAGGACTTGAAAGATGCAGGGGTGGTGATTCCCAACACATCCCCATTCAACTCTCCTATTTGGCCTCTGCAGAAGACTGATGGATCTTGGAGAATGACAGTGGATTATCATAAGCTTAACCAAGTGGTGACTCCAATTGCAGCCACTGTACCAGATGTGGTCTCATTGCTTGGGCAAATTAACAAGTCTGGTACCTGGTATGCAGCCATTAACTCGGCAGATGCCTTTTTCCCTGTTCCTGTCCATAAGGCCCACCATAACCAATTTGCCTTTAGCTGGCAAGGCCAGCAATATACCTTTACTGTCCTACCTCAAGGGTATATCAACTCTCCAGTTTTGTGTCATAATCTTATTCACAGAGACCTTGATCATTTTTCGTTTCTGCAAGATATTACACTGGTCCATTACATTGATGACATCATGCTGATTGGATCCAGTTAGCAAGAAGTAGCAAACACACTGGACCTATTGGTGAGACATTTGCATGCCAGAGGATGTGAAATCTGACTGAAATTCAGGGAGCTTCTACCTTAGTAAAATTTCTAGGAGTCCAGTGGTGTGGGGCCTATTGAGATATTCCTTCTAAGATGAAGGATAAGTTGCTCTATTTGGCCCCTCCTACAACCAAGAAAGAGACACAACTCCTAATGGGCCTATTTGGATTTTGGAGGCAACACATTCCTCATTTGGGTGTGTTACTTCAGCCCATTGATAGAGTGACCTGAAAGACTGCCAGTTTTGAGTGTGGTCCAGAACGGGAGAAAGCTCTGCAACAGGTCCAGGCTGCTGTGCAGGCTGCTGGGCAAGCTGCTCTGCCACTTGAGCCATATGACCCAGCAGATCCAATGGTGCTTGCAGTGTCAGTGGAAGATAGGAATGCTGTTTGGAGCCTTTGGCAGCTCCCCATAGGAGAACCACAGAAGGGATCTCTAGGATTTTGGAGCAAGGCCTTGCCTTCTTCTGCAGATAACTACTCTCCTTTTGAGAGACAGCTCTTGGCCCGTTACTGGGCTTTGGTGGAAACCGAATGTTTGACTACGGGTCATCAAGTCACCATGTGAACTTAACTGCCTATCATAAACTGGGTGCTTTCTAACCCATCTAGTCATAAAGTGGCTCATGCACAGTAATGTTCCATCATCAAATAAAAGTGGTATATATGTGATTGGGCTTGATCAGGTCCTGAAGGCACAAATAAGTTATATGAGGAAGTGGATCAAATGCGTATGGTCTCCATTTCTGCTACCATGCCTTCTCTCCCTCAGCCTGCACCAACAGCCTCATGGGGAGCTCCCTATGATCAGTAGACAGAGAAAGAGAAGACAGATCCTGGTTCACAGATGGTTCTTCACAATATACAGGCACCACTAGAAAGTGGAGAGCTGCAGCACTACAACCCATTTCTAGGACATCCCTGAAGGACAGTGGTGAAGGGATATTGTTCCAGCGGGCAGAACTTTGAGCAGTGCACCTGTTTGTGCACTTTGCATGGAATGAGAAATGGCCAGGTGTGTGATTATATACTGATTCATGGGCTGTGGCCAATGGTTTGGCTGGATGGTCAGAGACTTAAAAGAAGCATAATTAAAGAATTGGTGATAAAGAAATTTGGGGAAGAGGTATGTGGATGGACCTCCCTGAGTGGTCAAAAACTGAATATATTTGTATCCCATGTGAGTGCTCACCAATGGGTGACCTCTGCAAGGGAAGACTTAAATAAACAAGTGGAGAGGATGACCCATTCTGTGAATACCACCCAACCTCTTTCCCCAGCCACCCCTATGATTGCCCAATGGGCCCATGAACAAAGTGGCCATGGTGGCAGGGATGGAGGTTATGCATGGGTTCAGCAACATGGACTTCCACTTACCAAGGCTGACCTGGCTATAGCCACTGCTGAGTGCCCAATTTGCCAGCAGCATAGATCAACACTGAGCCCTCGATATGGTACCATTTCTCAGGGTGATCAGGCAGCTACTTGGTGGCCAGTTGATTATATTGAACCTGTTCCATCATAGAAAGGGCAGAGGTTTGTCCTCACTGGAATAGACACTTATTCCAGATATGGGTTTGCCTATCCTGCATGCAATTCTTTTGCCAAGACTACCATCTGTGGAATCATGGAATGCCTTTTCCACTGTCATGGAATTCCACACAGCATTGCCTTTGACCAAGTCACTTACTTTATGGCTAAAGATGTGTGGCAGTGGGTTCATGCTGTTGATATTCACTGGTCTCACCATGTTCCCCATCATCCTGAAGCAGCTGGATTGATAGAACGGTGGAACGGTCTTTTGAAATCACAATGACAATGCCAAGAAGGTGACAATACTTGCAGGGCTGGGACAACGTTCTCCAGAAGCCCATGTATGTTCTGAATCAGCATCCAATATATGGTACTGTTTCTCCCATAGCCAGGATTCATGGATCCAAAAATCAAGTGTTGGCATGAGCCACATAAGGAGACCCCACGGAAGCAAAGTATACGTTTGATAAGAAATGCACCACTATGGAATTTTCCACCTGTTGTACATGAATTATTTCTCTATCAGAACAACTCCAATAAGGGAGATTATTTCTCAGTACAAGGGATCCTCCCTGATATGGCTTGGCTGTGTCCCCACCCAAATTTCATCTTGAATTCCCATGTGTTGTGACAGGAACCCAGTGGGAGGTAACTGAATAATGGGGACAGGTCTTTCCCATGGTGTTCAGGTGATAGTGAATAAGTACCATGAGATCCGATGGTTTTAAAGGAGAAGTTTCCCTGCACAAGCTCTCTCTTTGCCTGCTGCCCTGAATGTAAGACATGACATGCTCCTCCTTGCCTTCTGCTATGATTGTGAGGCTTCCCCAGCCACATGAAACTGCAAGTCCATTAAACCTCTTTCTATCGTAAATTGCCCAGTGTCAGGTATGTTTTGTTTTTTTTCTGTATTTCTTCCAAAAAAAATGGGATACATGTGCAGATCGAGCAGGTTTTATACATAGGTATATGTATGTCATGCTTGTTTGCTGCACAGAGAACTTACAGGTATGTCTTCATCAGCAGTGTGAACACAGGCTAATACAGTAAATTGGCACCAGTAGAGGGGCGTGCTGCTGTAAAGCTACCCCAAAATATGGAAGTGACTTTGGAACTGGGTAACATGCAGAGGATGGAACAGTTTGGAGGGCTCAAAAGAGGACAAGAAAATGTGGGAAAGTTTGTAACTTTCTAGAGATTTGTTGAATGGCTTTGACCACAATGATGATAGTGATATAGACAATAAAACCCTGGCTGACGTGGTCTCAGAGGGAGATGAGGAACTTGTTGAGAACTGGGGCAAAGGTGACTCTTGTTATGTTTTAGCAAAGAAACTGGCAGCATTTTTCCCCTGCCCTAGAGATTTGTGAATCTTTGAACTTGAGAGCAATGATTTAGGGTATCTGATAAAAGAAATTCCTAAGCAGCAATGCATTCAAGATGTGACTTGGGTGCTGTTAAAGGCATCCAGTTTTAAAAGGGAAACAGAGCATAAAACTTGGAACATTTGCAGCTTGATAACATGATAAAAAAGAAAATCCTATTTTCTGAAGAGAAATTGAAGCTGGCTATAGAAATTTGCATAAATAATGAGGAGCCAAATGTTAATCCCCAAAACAATGAGAAAAATGTTTCCAGGGCATGTCAGAGGTCTTCACAGCAGCCTCTGCCATCACAGGCCCAGAGGCCATGAAGAAAAAGATGGTTTTGTGGGCCAGGCCCGGGGCCCCCCTTCTCTTTGCAGCCTAGGGACTTGGTACACTGCATTCCAGTCACTCAAGCCAGGGCTAAAAGGGGCCAAGGTATAGTGTGGGCTGTTGCTTCAGACGGCAGAAGCCCCAAGCCTTGGCAGCTTCCACATGGTTTTAAGGCTGCAGGTGCATGGAAGTCAATAATGAGGTTTGGGAACCTCCACCTAGATTTCAGAGGATGTATGGAAACACCTAGATGCCCAGGGAGAGTTTGCTGCAGGGGTGGGCCTCTCCTGGAGAACCTCTGCTAGGGCAGTACAGAAGTAAAATGTGGGGTTAGAGCCTCCACACAAAGTCCCTACTGGGGCACCACCTAGTAGAGCTGTGAGAAGAAGGCCACCATCCTCCAGATCCCAGAATGGTAGATCCATTGACAGCTTGCACCATGGACCTGGAAAAGCCACAGAAACTCAATGCAGCCCCTGAAATCAGCCAGAAGGGAGGCTGTCCCTGA
Organism: Homo sapiens; assembly: GCF_000001405.40. Classification (NCBI taxonomy): domain Eukaryota; kingdom Metazoa; phylum Chordata; class Mammalia; order Primates; family Hominidae; genus Homo; species Homo sapiens. Next base: position 146,311,172 of record NC_000023.11, on the reverse strand, counting down.
AAAGCCACAGGGGCAGAGCTTGCCAAGACCATGGGAACCCACTTCTTGCATCAACGTGACCTGGATGTGAGACATGGAGTCAAAGGAGATCATTTTGGAGCTTTAAACTTTGACTGCCCTGCTGAATTTTGGACTTGGATGGGGCCTATAGCCCCTTTATTTTGGCAAATTTCTCCCATTTGGAATGGCTGCATTTACCAAATGTCTGTACCCCCATTGTACCTAGGAAGTAACTAACTTACTTTTGATTTTACAGTCTCATAGGTGGAAGGGACTTGCCTTGTCTCAGATGAGACTTTGCACAGTGGACTTTTGAGTTAATGCTGAAATGAGTTAAGACTTTGTGGGACTTTTAGGAAGTCATGATTGATTTTTCAAATGTGAGGACATGAGTTTTGAGATGGTCCAGGGGCGGAATGATATTGTTTGGCTGTGTCCCCACCCAAATTTCACCTTGAATTCCCATGTGTTGCGGGAGGGACCAAATGGGAGGTAATTGAATCATGGGGGCAGGTCTTTCCCGTGCTGTTCTCTTGATAGTGAATAAGTCTCATGAGATTTGATGGTTTTATAAGGGGGAGTTTCCCTGCACAAGCTCTCTGTTTGCCTGCTGCCATCTATGTAAGATGTGAGTTGCTCCTCCTTTCCTTCCACCATGATTGTGAAGCTTTCCCAGCCGCATGAAACTGTAAGTCCATGAAACCTCTTTCTTTTTAAAATTGCCCAGCCTCAAGTATGTCTTTATCAGCAGTGTGAAAATGGGCTAATACACTTTCCAAAGTCTTTATATCTAGAAATGAATTTTAGATCCATCAAAATTTTGAGACATTTCATAAAATTCTATAGTAATTCCACAATGGTTGTCCCAAACACTAACAAGCATCCCTAAAATTATCCTTACATCTATCTATGGTTTGGAAGGGTATCTATGTAGCTTTTCTTTAAATTTCTGATAATAATAATCAGTGGAAAAGTTTGTTAAAAATAGCATGCCAAACTTCTCTCCTGAATAATCTGCTTTAGATTGTCTGGTGTGGGACTATAACTTTATTTTTTAAGCACCTAAGTAATTCATGAAATCAGGAAAGTTTTCTAAATAATGAGTTAGAGGACCCCTTGGCCAGCAGATACCATTTAGAAATACAAACTATGGTTACAATGTCCCCTCCTTGGCTCTTACTTGGTCTACTTCCTTCTTAGCCAAAACAAATTCACTGTGTATGGGTAGTAGGTAGTGACAGATCAAAGTCAGGTTATTTTTATGATCTGACAACAAAAAACAAATTAAATTTTTATGGTATATTTTTGAGAGGAAAAAATAAGCCCTCATATCTCCCTGTACTTCAATTTCATTTTATATGTAAGTGTTTCCAAAATTTTTGCACCCACAATTTGCCAAGTTGAATAAAACGTCCCATGGAAATAAAGTGCTTTGCTATATCCTACTAGATGCTAGAGAATTTGGTGTCTTGACATATGTCATGCAAGTGGTTTGTCACTCAATGTGAATAGCAGAACATGTGAACAAGAAACAACAGACAACTGAATGACATTTAATAAGATCCCAACATCATGTCTTTCATATTCCTCACTAAGGGATCTGTCAAGAGATAGACTTTATTTAGGCAATTTTTCCAATATTTGACTTGATAGTTTTAAAGAGCATAGTTTGTGGCTACTTTAGAGGCATGCAAGTCAAAAGTTTGTTTAGATGGCATGGTGGTCAGAAGAGGGCCTGGGGATAGGAAATAATACAACACCTGGAAGCAGAACTCTAATAGATAGCTGACAATGTTGGAGCACTTAAATGCCAAGTACTGTGTCATGTGCTTTACACATATCATCTGATTTAATCACTATGACAACCCTAATTGAAAATGTGTCTTTGGCCAGGTGCAGTGGCTCACACCTGTAATCCCAGCAGTTTGGGAGGCTGAGGTGGGCGGATCATGAGGTCAAGAGTTCGAGACCATCCTGGCCAACATGGTGAAACCCTGTCTCTACTAAAAATACAAAAATTAGCTGGGCGTGGTGGCACACACCTGAATTCCCAGCTACTCAGGAGGCTGAGGCAGGATAATCGCTTCAACCCGGGAGGCGGAGGTTGCAGTGAGCCGAGATCACGCCACTGCACTCCAGCCTGGTAACAGAGTGAGACGCTGTCAAAAAAATAAAATAAATAAGAAAGAAAACAAGTCTTTGACTTTGGATTATCAGGGGGTAGCCATCTCTATGGGTATGTTTTCCTGAGGTATTCAGAAGAGTGTTAAATGCTAACACCCTGGAAAACAGCTAACAAAGAGCCTAACTCTATGAGGACTAAATGATATCAATCTGCAGACAGTGTCCTGGAGCAAAGCCCTTGTAGAGTCTTTTTATAAGCACAGGAAAGGCAACTGGTAGAATCTAGTCAGAACCCTCCCACCTCAAGTCTTATTTATTGTTCTAGGCAATGAACAATAAATAAAATCCCATACCAACCTATTGCCACACTGCTATTTGTCATACAGAAGGAGTGGGGTGTTAAACAGTATTTAAGAAGTAGCAGTCACTTATGTAAGTATCTTATATCCTAATGCTCTCACTTAATACCACATCAGAGGTGTTATGTTAGTCCATTCTCGTGCTGCTATAAAAAACTGCCTGATACTGGGTAATTTATAAAGAAAAGAGGTTTAATTAACTCACAGTTCCACATGGCTGGTGAGGCCTCAGGTAACTTATAATCATGGTGGAAGACACCTCCTCACAGGGAAGCAGGAGAGAGAATGAGTGATGAGCAAATGGGGAGATGCCCCTTATGAAACCATCAGATCTTCTGAGAAATCACTTACTATCATCAGAAAAGCATGGGAGAAACCGTCCCCATGATTCAATTGTCTCCCACTGGGTCTCTCTCACATATGTGGAGATTATGAGATTAAAATTCAAGATGAGATTTGGGTGGGGACACAGAGCCAAAACATATCATTTTGTTTCTGGCCCCTCCCAATCTCATAAACTCACATTTCAAAACACAATTATGCCTTCCCAACAGTCTCCCAAAGTCTTAACTCATTCCAGGCTTAACCCAAATGCCAGGTCCAAAGTCTCATCTGAGACTAGGCAAGTCCCTTCCACTTATGAGCCCGTGAAATAAAATGCAAGTTAGTTAAGTCTTAGATACAATGGAGGTACAAGCATTTGGTAAATATAACCATTCCAGATCAGAGAAAATGGTCAAAACAAAGGGGCTACAGGCCCCATGCAAGTCCAAAATCCAATAGGGCAGTCATTAAACCTTATAGTTACAAAACGATTTCCTTTGATACCATATCTCACTTCCAGGTCATGCTGATGTAAGTGGTGGGCTCTCATGGCTTTTCACAGCTCTGCCCCTGTGGCTTTGCAGGGTACAGCCCCACTCCTAGCTGCCTTTCCAGCTGACATTGAGTGTCTGCAGCTTTTCCAGGTGCACGGTACAAGCTGTCAGTAGATCCGCCATTCTGGGGTCTGTAGGACAGTGGTCCTCTTCTCAAAGCTCCACTAGGCAGTGGCCCAGTGGGGACTCTGTGTGAGTTCTGACCCCACATTTCCTTTCTGCACTGCCCTAGCAGAGGCTCTCCATAAGGGCTCAACCCATGAAGCAAACTTCTGCCTGGACATCCAGGTGTTTCCATACATCCTCTGAAATCTAGGTGGTGGTTCGAAAGCATCAATTTTTGACTACTGTGCACCTGTAGGAGCAATACGATATAGAAGCTGCCAAGACTTGGGGTTTGCACCCTTGGAAGCAATGGCTTGAGCTGTATCTTTGCCCCTTTTAGCCACAGCTAGATCGGAAGCAGGTGGGACACAAGGCACCAGGTTCTGAGGCTGCACAGAGCAGGGGGCTCTGAGCCTGGCCCAAGAAATTATCATTTCATCCTAGGCTTCTCAGCCTGTGATGGGAGGTGCTGTCATGAAGATCTCTCACTTGCCCCATAGACGTTTTTCCCATTTTTCCTGCTGATTAGCATTTGGATCCATGTAATTTATGCAAATTTCTGCAGCCAGCTTGAATTTCTCCCCCAGAAAATGGGTTTTTCTTTCCTGCTGCATTGACAGGTTGCAAATTTTCCAAACTTTTATTCTCCATTATCTCTTGAATACTTTGTTGCTTAGAAATTTCTTCCACCAGATACCCTAAATAATCTCTCTCAAGTTCAAAGTTCCACAGATCTCTAGGACAGGGGCAAAACACTACCAGTCTCTTTGCTAAAGCATAGCAAGAGGGACCTTTACTCCAGTTCCCAAAAAGTTCTTTATCTCCTTCTGAGATCACCTCAGCCTGGACTTCATTGCCTATATTGCCATCAGCAGTTTTGTGAAAGCCATTCTACAAGTCTCTAGGAAGTTCCAAACTTTCTGGCATCTTTCTGCTTTCTGAGCCCTCCAAATGTCTAGGAAATTCCAAACGTTCCCACATTTTCCTGTCTTTTTCTGAGCCCTCCAAACTATTCCAACCTCTGCCTTTTACTCAGTTCCAAAGATGCTTCCACATTTTGGGGTATCCTTGTAGCAGCACCCCATTCTCTGCAGTACCAGTTTACTGTGTTAGTCCATTCTCATACTGCTATAAAGAACTGCTCAAGACTGGGCAATTTATAAAGGAAAGAGGTTTAATTGACTCACAGTTCCACGTGGCTTGGAAGGCCTCAGGAAACTTACAATCATGGCAGAAGGCACCTCTTCATATGGCATCAGGAGAGAGAATGAGTGTTCAGCGAAGGGGGAAGCCCCTTATAAAACTATCAGATCTTGTGAGAACTCACTCACTCTCACTCTCACAAGAACAGCATGGGGGAAAACACCCCCATGATTCAATTATCTTTTACCGGGTCCCTCCCACAACACATGGGGATTATGGGATTACAATTCAAGATAAGATTTGGGTGGGGACCCGGAGACAAACCATATCAGGTGTGTGTGTGTGTGTGTGTGCGTGCGTGTGCACACATGTACATGCACACAAGCACACACCTGTGCACAATAACATCCTTCAGTATTTCAAACATTCATTTTCTTTCAGAGAAGCTATAAAAATGTACTTTACTTCTTCTCTGAGAGATAACTTTTTCTAACATATGGATATTTTTTAAGATATAGTGAGCAATTATTTTAATGGCCGTTCCCATGAAGTAATATAAATACCACTTCATTAGCTTCAGAAGACATTCCTATGCTCTTGCAACTATAACTGAAACTGCCATATTGTAGTGCTGCATGACATCAATGCAATACGACATGTAATGTTACACTTGGACAAGCCCAGTCCTCACAGACTTGGCTTCTATCTAAGTCAATACTTAACAGCCATTTCACGAAAGCAGTTGGTAAGTCCCAAAGCCGTAACAACTATTACACTTTGATTTAAAAGCAGCAAAAGTCTATTTATATATTATTATGTATCAATGTTTTAACTACAAAAACTATGCAGTAAACATCAAAACCCTTCAAAATACCCTTTATACTTTTCTTTTAAAGTATCATTAATTATTCAAATCAAATAGAATACAAAATACTAAAAATACTTTGCAAAATCATGTAAAATAGTGCACCTTTCTTGGCCCGTTGCCCCATTTTTCTTTAGTCATCTTAATACCCTATTGCTCATTAGTCATCACATGTACTAGATTTCTATTACTCTCCACAGCTTTGGGACATCAAAATTTCCCATGAGATCCTGCAAAAAAATTAGGAAATGGCTATATCAGTCCTGTTCAGTATAACTTTCAGTTATAATAAAAACGTCCTGTATCTTCACTTCACAGTTGATAGCTGCTGGTCGCATGTGGTTATTGAGCAATTGTACATTAAGTACATTAGAGTGACTTGGGGGTGTCTGTATTTTTAGTTTAAGTTAATTTTAATTAATTTCAATTTAAATAGCTACATATGGCTAGTGGCTACCAGTTTGCACACTGTAGGCATATACCAATGATATTTAAGACCACCATCTAATTTAAAGACTTGTTAACATCATGGAGAAAGGTGAGAGCCAAAAAAATAAACATGTGTGATATCTATTCATATTCTCTTCTTCCATCAATACAAAGCTTGATACTCAAAGCTGGGAGGGAATTTCTACTTCAGTGCTCTGGGATGTGTGGCCAGACGTTTCTCCTGTTTCATAAAATGGCAAAAAGTAAACCACCTTCAAACCGTATCTTTGGAAATAAAACTTATACCCCTAACCCATGCCACATTATGTTGTCTATTTATCACAGAATCACAAACTGACTATAATTAAAGAGGACATTTGACTCAGTGCTAGTTAAGCAAATAAGAGACTATGATGTAGGTGATATCCGGCAGTGCCATGAGCCCCAAATATTGGACTGCATCTAAATGATAGAGGTGGTTGTGAGGAGGGTGAAGCATCAATAGCTTTTGAACCATTGTGAGTACTATAGTTTACAAAGCACATGCTTGTCCTAAGAGCAACAGTTTAACTCAAGGAAAGACCACTTCCTTTGCAGAGAACATTCTATTTCACTTGGCTTGTCACACTCTCTGTACAATGGTTGTCATTTTATTTCCTTCTTTCTTCTTGCAATACACACTTACCTAATATGACTGACAGAGCCTATTACATTCTAAATCCATAATCCTATATCTCTATATAGAATGACCTCTAATGGAATAGTGGAGTATTTGAAGTTTCAAAAGCCAACACAGTAAGTTGCTTGCGATGGTTTTCCGTGGCCTAGGAAAAAAATCAATATCTCAATGCAGCTAATATAATGAAGACATTTTTTGCTGGTAAGGCTGAAAAGTGTAGAAATTTGAGACTCCCATTAAAACTCCTTAAAAAAGAAGAAATTCTGATATAGTTAGTGTTGCTTCAAAGATTCCTAGTACATGCTGACTTACCAGGCTTCTCAGCACAATCAGTATTTTTTTTTAAAAAAAAATTTAAATGTATTTAATTACTTGTTTGTATTAATCTGTGTTACAGTGTTGCATTTATATGTACTTTTTCTGGTCTTCTCATAACTACAGGTTCTTTTCATGACTATTTTTTTTCTCAAAGGAAAACACAGGATGCCAACCTTTCATTATACTTGCTGGAAGCAGAGAGCAACATGTAAGCATTTTTCTTTGTCCAAATAGTGAGTGTCGTTCTCTTAAGGTTGATAAGGAGGGTCATAAGAGATGACTGAGAGGCAGAAATTGTGTGCAAAGAGGCAGCTACAGGAGTGGCATTTGAGAATATGAAAAAGCACAGGGAAAGATGAAGAATAGATTCACAAAGGCTCAAGAAGGGCTTGACAAAGGCTGAATGTGTGGGAATATAAGAACAAAATATTTTTTCATGATGTAACTCTCTATCTCTCCTACCAGAATGTGAACTCTTAGAAGGCATGAGCTGCGTTAGCTGCATGGGCTGTATGTTTTTTGGTTTTTTGTTTTGTTTTGTTTTTTGGTTTTCTTTTTGGTAATGTATCCTTGCTCCTCCGTAACCTTCCAATGCAGCAGCTTGCACACTGCTTGATGCTGGTATTGTTGAGAAAATGTGGGACAAGAAGATGAATGAATGAATGAATGTATAGAAAGAGGTGCGTAGGGAAGAAGAAAGGAAGGAACGAAAGGAAGGAGGGAAGGAGAGAGGGAGAAAATAAACAGAAGGCTGAAAGAAACCATAAAAATCACCTAGTACAGGCAAACATCTGAGCTTTGATTCTGTTTGAAAGCAAAGGGGCAGCAGCTTGCCTATTGCTACCCCTTCCCCTGGAGTGCCTATTAGTATGCCACAAATACACAAGATGCTCAGGTTGGAGAGGTGAGCCTAGTTGTGTGGCATGGCTCATCACTCAATTTATGAGTTCTGGTTACTTTGCAATGGCAAACTCAGAGGCAAATGAGAAGAAATAAAATGTTTCAACACAATTTACTATTTCTTACATCAAGTTAAATGACATTTTAAAAGTTACCTCTTTCTAACGCTCATTTATACCCATGCTCCTCCTCTCCCTCTAAAAAAAAGATATCCCTCCCCCCTCCCCCCACCCCACAACAGTCCCCAGAGTGTGATGTCTAGATGACGAGTTAGTGGGTGCAGCGCACCGGCATGTCACATGTATACATCTGTAACTAACCTGCACATTGTGCACATGTACCCTAAAACTTAAAGTATAATAAAAAATAAAAATAAAATAATAATTTTGCTACATAAATGCTTATAGACCAACAGCAAATAAAATTGTTTTACTTGTAATAAAAAAAAAAGATAACAACAACAAAATTTTAGTGTTTTGCTTGAACACCTCCCCTGAGAGGGGTACTCTACCTTCTGAGGACACCCAATTGATTTTAAGAGATTTCTTGTAGTAGAAGTGCCAAATCAAACTATCTCTTCTCAGAACTTCTGTCTTTTAATTTTAGCACTTTCCTCTAGAAACACAGTTTTGTCTGCCTTTTACATGAAGGCTGTTATCCATCAATATTCCGACGAGAAACACACTCTAAAGATTTAAATAAAGTGACTATTTACAAGGGCATGGATGGAAAGAGAGTTGAAGAAACCTGGGCTAGCAGGTTGCTGAGAGGGCAAGAGGGGGAATTCCAGGGAGAAAGGCAGTTTTAAGAGAAGGACGTCCAACAGGAGCTATGATCTTCAGGAGAAGAGCACAGCCACTGTTAAGACAAACCCTAGCCAGGACGTCATAGGGAAATAAATCCCCTGACTTTCCTCTCTTCCCCCCTAGCCATATCTTATTGGTGGTTTTTATTGGCTAAACCCAATCAGAAGCCAGAAGGCAAGGGAGTGGAGAAGTGTAGAAAAGGGATCTTGAAGGGCAAACACAACTTCACATATTTGAAGGCAGAATTTGTGTTCTCCCAGAGGCACCACACTCAACTTCTTCATTCAGTCTTCACGAGATATTTATATGTTTATTCAACATTCAGATGCCTATTCTCAACCCTACATGGTCATACCACTGCAATGGAGCTGGAACTGCCATCTCTCTCAGTCGAGGTTACAAACTTCAGGAGTGATATATCCAAAGAAGTATTTAATTAACTACTTCAGTGGCTAAACAATATAGTGACCCCTTATGATTTTTGTCACCCTAAAACTTCTACCCGTCAACTCTATTCATCAATATTAACCTGTGTCTCCCACATTCTTTGGGTACGTGGTTTGCTTTTTGGACCCATGGGCAAGATCGAGCATTTATTGTTTCATATTTCATTTTAACTATCAGTCTCCAGCCTGCTGCAACATGTTTGTGTTTCATTAAATCAACTTTTGTAATTAAAGAAAAATTTGATATCATGTGGTATAACACCAACACTTTATTTAAGGTCAAACTGGAACCCAAAAAATGAGAGGCTTTGGCAAGTAAATATCAGAGTAGGAGCAGGGCCTATTAGCTTATAATATAGACAGAGTTTTGATCTGAAGTCATTAGACGTTTTGACCATTTTGTACATTTAGTTTCTTCAGGCATATAAGAAGATACACTCTTATGTATTCTGCAGTATTATTTTTTTGGAAGGCATACTTGTCTGCTGTCAGTTTGACAACTCTGTTCTCTCAAGCTTAATTTCAAATTCTGTGGCTAAAGGTAGCAGATAATATATTGTATCCAGAGGACTTGTTGATTCATTCTCTAAAAGCGAAAGTCAAAATATTGGATGAGAAAGCCTGAATACATCCTCTCATACTTCAGAAGTAATATTACTAAATTACAGTTCAATGAGTAACATTATTAAGAATCAAAAGTATATCGTTAGATATTTCTAAGAATATTATTCCTCCAATTTTACAAAAGCCCCAAAAAAACACAACCTAAGTAAGGCAAAATTCACAAGAGTTAGCTCATCCCAGCACCAAATATCTCTTTTGTCTTAACTACCTATGTATTTTAAAATGCAGAAATGTTATCCCAAGTAAATTTTTTTAAAAAAGCCTAAAAAACAAAGCAAACAACAATAACAAAAGGTGGGACCTAACTCCTTATTTCCCCACTGAGCACCATTCCTGATGTCAACCTTAACATTATAACCTTAGCTTTTACTAATGCTTAATACAGAAAATGACAAATAATGTTATAGAAATTGTCCAATCTATTATTTAACTGGACACAAAATTCCCTTTCAAGCTTTGGCTAGCAGTGGTAACCAGGGCTGAATTTATAGAGATTCCAGTATACAAGTAAAAAGGGTATATGTACATAATAGCTAGAAAGACAAAGAGTTCATCTTATTTGTTCAGTCACTTAACTTCAATGTTTGTGGCTAAATCAGATAAATAGACAACCAGAATATTGTTCAGGTTTGCAGGAAAAAGCAACAATGAAATCAATACTCTACTGGGGCAAAATTACTCTTATTTAGTCCTGTAATTTCATCTCTTCCAACTGGGCCACAAATCATCCAACACAAGAATTCAAAAGGATGAGACAAACCAATGATTCTCCAGAATTACCAAAACCACAGTTCTTATGTGGTAAATATCACCTCCACATAAAAAAAGTTTGTTAATCATTAAAGAGGAAGCCTATCTTTTATGTGGGTGTGGAAATTCTAGGGAAGACCAGCAAGCCATTTTGTAAGTGTCTGACTATTCAAGGTTACCCTGCCTTGAAGTGATAAATCCCGCATGGCAGGAGGGGAGAAGATTTCCAAAATTATTCTGTTCATTTAAGTTTATTTTAACTTTTTTGAATAGTAAATATCTATAAGACTAATGTTAGCCTGTGTAGTATCAGGTCTCTGACCAATTAATTTGTTAATATGTCACTACAGACTTCACTTTAGCCATTGTGAGGGACAGAGAAATTATATAACTTACCTACACCATTTGCCCTGAGGAAATTTTAGCAGGTACAAACTCATCGTCAGATGCTTCTAGAGGAGTTGCGTATTTTAGGCCCTCCTAGGAGGAAGACTTGGATGCTAATCAGCTTGTTGACAAAAGCACAGCCATATTGCACAATACATCTTATCTGAAACATTCTCTCATGTTACTTTGAATGACCATAACCCACTTAGATAAAGCTCCATAACTTTGGATAAAGACCAAGCCTGGTGGCGTATGAAATATAAATACGTATACAAGCACCATAGGCTACGTGCTCTCTATTGGTTTCTAGGTCCTGATTTTTTATTTCGTGGAGAGACATAAGATTCATGGTGGACTATTGTAGTTGGATGAATAATGGCTGCCCAAAAATATCAGGTTGTAATCCTTGGAACCTGTAAATGTTTCTTTACAAGGCAAAGGTTCTTTGAAGATGTGATTAAGTTAAAGATCTCGAGATGGGCAGATTATCCTGCATTATTCAAGTGGACCTTAAATGGAATTACATGTATCATAAAAAAAGAAACTGAAGGAGATTTAACAAATGCACAGAAAAGAAGGCAACGTGAAGATGAAACAGATATTTAAAGATGTTGATACTGAGGATTGGAGTAATGTGTCCACAACTCAGGGACTGTTGTTAGCCGTTAGAGATTGGAAGAGACAGGGAATGAATGACCTCCTAGAGCCTGCAGAGGTAGTGTGGTCTTGACAACACCTTGATTTGGGACCAGTGATAATGATTTCAGACTTCTGTGAGATAATACATTCTGCTGTTTTAAGCTTCAAGTTTGTGGTAATTTGTTAAAGTAGTCATAGGAAACTAACACAACAATTCTAGAAAAAAATCTCAAATGTCACCTAATTCAGTGCTCACATTTAACACAGGGAAAACCAAGTAAAAAGTTATTCGTGTTTTTGAACAAAGGAAAGCTTTTGACTCTTAACCTCTCGAGTTACAGTAGTTAATATTCACCAACTAGATCCAGAGTGTGACATTTCTAGGACTAGTGGAGGTCACAAATTGGCCCAATAAGTACAAAGAATTAAATTTTTGCATTTGAGTTCCAAAATAACCTGGAAACCATAGCAATGAAGATAAAGTGGATCTTCATTGTTTGTGGATTCCACTGTATTTGCAAATTTGCCTACTTGTTAAAATTTATTTGTAACCCCAAAATCAATATTTGGAGAGTTTTTCTTGTCGTTCATGTACATGCATAGAGTATTAAAAATTTGTCACTTGACTCTTATGTTCTCAGGTGACAACAAACAAGGTTATGCACTGGATTCTTGCTTAAGCTTTCATACTAAGGTAACCAGAGGATGGAACAGTGGATGCAACAGTAAAGGGTAGTGGACAGTCAGTGTAGTACAAGAAACTCCTGCCCTGGGGTCAGTTAGACAAGGCTTCAACCCCAGCTCTGACTTTGCTTAGTGGGGTGGCCATCAGTGAGACACTTATCACTTTTAAACCTCATTTGTTCTCTTTAGTAAGTTACTGTAAAGAAAATGAAGCAAATCAGGATGAGTTGGCTTTAGGATTTAAGATTATAATCTATGTGAGACATAGGTGTGTGTATGTGCATGTGTATGAGTATATCTATCTGACTCTCTATTTCCCATAAGAGCAGAGGCTCAATATTCACTAATTCAGTGTTTGTAGGAGTAAACCACAGAGGAAGGTCTTTGTCGGGAGAAACCATACAGTAGGAAGGAATGTGCTATGTCAAAACAAAAAAACAAAAAACAGCAAGCAGATGACATGTGTTTCTTCTCTGATATCAGAATCACGTAAGACACACAACTATAATGAATGTCACCCACGGGAGGGAAAATAAGGGAGGAAGGAAAAGGAGAAAAATCCTTAATTTATTATTTACTTGGATATGCAGAGCAAGATGCTGGAATAGAAGCCTCCACCTATCATTCCCCCACACTCTCCAATAGCCCCGGCAGCAGCTATGTGGTGAAGAGAGCTTCTCTGGGCACTAGGGGAGGGGAAGAACAGCTATTGTGAGGCATTAAACTTAGTGCTGTCCTGTTAGAGCAGAAAGGAAAACAGAACCAAACTCAGCTGATGCCCACCCACAGAAGGAGCATTTAAACCAGCCCAAGCCAGAGGGGAATCACTGATCCCAGTCACCAGATCTTGAGTTCCCACAAGCCTCTCCACGGAGAGTCAAATTGCTCTATCTCTAAGTAAATGTGAAAGATAGTCTATGCCATAAGAACTGCAACTCTTAGGTGAGTCCTAGTGCTGAGCTAGGCCCAGACAGTGGACTTGGTTGCGGGGGACCAGGGGTGGTGGGGAGGGCTTGTGCATACGACCTACCGAGACACCAGCTGGTGTGGCTATGGAAGTGCTGGCATCACCCCCCACAACACCAGGCTGTACAACTTGTAGCTCCAAAAGAGACCTCCTCCTTCCTCTTAAGGAGAGAAGAAGGAAGAGTGGGGAGGACATTATCTTGCATCTTGGATACCAGCACAGGCTCAGAAAGATAGGGCACCAGTCAGAGTCACAAGGCCCCCATTCCAAGCCATATCACATGGATGAAATTTCTAGACACACTCTGGGCCATAATGGAACCTGCTGCCTTGAAGGAAAGAACCCAGCCATGGCAGCATTCATCACCTGCTAATTGAAGGGACCTTGGGCCCTGACTAACCAGCAGTGATATCCAGGCACTGTGTCGAGGGCCTCTGATGAGCTTCAGAGACATGCTGGATTAAGTGAGACTCAGCACTTCACCAGCTGTGGTGCCTACAGGGCAAGACTCCTTTTCCTTGAAACATGCAAAGAAAAAAATATAGGTGACTTTGTCTTGCACCTTAGGTACCAGCATGGCCACAGAGGGGTAAAGCACCAAGTAGGTTCTTGGGTCCCCTGATTCTAGGACTCGATTCTTGGGCTGCATTTCTGAACCTGCCCTGGGACAGAAAGGAGCCCACTTCCCTGAAGAGTGAGTTCCAGGCCAAGCAACATTTACCACAAGCTGACTTTTAAGAGTGCTTGGAACTTAAGAGAATATCTCCAGTAGTCTGTCATACTCCTCATGGCCTGGGGTGGCAGCAGCTATGGAGTGAGGTTCCTCTGCCTTTAGAAAGGAGAGGAGAGAGTGGGAAGAACTGCTTTTTGTTGATTGAGTACCAGCTTGGCCAGAGTACAATAGAACACTAGAAAGACTTCTAAGGTTTTTTACTCTCTTCCCTGATTCCTGGACAAAACCTCTGGACCACCTAGGGTCTGAGAGGCCTTGATGACCTGAAGGGAAGGACATAGGCCTGGCTGGCTTTGCAACCTGCAGACTGTAGAGCCCCAGGGCCTTAAGCAAACATAGGTAGTAGCCAGTGAGTGGTTAGAGCAGGCCTTGGGTGAAAGCCAGTGCTTTGCTGGCTTTGTGTCTGACCCAGTGCAGTCATAATAATGGTGGACACAGGGGTGCGTGTGTCATTTCCACCCCCACCTTTCGGTGGCCCAGAACAGAGAGGCAAACTGTTTGCTTGGGAGAAAGTAAGGGAAGAGAACAATATTGTCTCTCTGGTAATGCAGAGAAATCTCCTGGATCTTGTCCAAGACCATCAAGGCAGTACCTCTATGACTCTGAAAGAAACACATTATTACAAGGCTTGGGGTGCCCCCTAAAGCAGATACAGCTTAGATCACAGCACACAAGTCCTTCCAAATATCTGGAAAGTCTTCCCAAGAAGGACAGCTACAAACAAGTTGAGACCCTGAAGGCTACAATGCATATCTAACTCTGATTCCCAGACATGAAAGAACAGCTACTAGCGTTAACACCATCCAAGAAAACACAACTTACTGAAAAATGCATCAGAGTCCTTTAATAGCATAATTGATCAAACAGAAGAAAGAATTAGTGAGCTTTAAGACAGGCTATTTGAAAATACAGAGGAGACAAAATAAAAAAGAATAAAATACTATGAAACACCACTATCGAATCTAGGAAATAGCCTCAAAATGGCAAATCTGAGTTGTTAGATTTAAAGAGGAGGTAGGAAAATAGATAGGGATAGAATGTCTATTTAAAGAAATAATAACAGATCACTTTCTAAGCATAAAGAAATATATAAATATCCAAGTAACAAAAGGTCATAGAACACCCAGCAGATTTAATCCAAAGAAGACTACCTCAAGGCATTTAATAATGAAACTCCCAAAGGTCAAGGATAAAGAAAGGATCCTAAAATCAGCTAGAGAAAAGAAAAAAATAAAATGCATCTTCAGTATGTCTGGCAGTGGACTTTTTAGTGGAAACTTTACAGTACAGGAGAAAGTGGCATGAACTATTTAAAGCGCTATAAAATAAAACAAAACAAAACAAGCCTTTTACCCTGGAATAGTATATTCAGCAAAAATATCCTTCACATATGAATAAGAAATAACAGCTTTCCCAGATAAACAAATGCTGAGAGAGTTCATCAACACCAGACCTGTCTTACAAGAAATGCTGAAGGGAGTACTTTAATCAGAAAGTTAAAAAAAAAATGAATGAGCAATAAGTAATCACCTGAAGGTACAAAACTTACTGGTAATAGAAAGTATGCAGAAAAACATAAAATATTATAACACTGTAACTGTGGTATATAAACTGCTTTTATCTCAAGTAGAAAGACTAGATGATGAACCAATCAATAATAGTAACTACAAGAGATTATCAAGACTTAGTCAGTAAAAACTAATATAAATAGAAAAGAACAAAATGATTAAAAACTGGGTTATGAAGGTAAGGTATAGAGATTGATTTGCTTTCTCTTTGCTTGTCTGTTTATGCAAATAGTGTTAAGTTGTTATCAGGTTAAAATGATGGGTTATACAACAGTACTTGCAAGCCTCATGGTAACCTCAAATAAAAAAATGTACAGTGTACACACAAAAAATGAAAAGCAAGAAACTAAATCATATCACAAGAAAAAATCACCTTCACTAAAGACAGGAAAAAATGAAAGAAGGATGGGAAGACAACAAAACAATCAGAAAACAAAAACAAAATGGTAGGACTAAGTTCTTACTTATCAATAAAAACATTGAAAGTAAATGTACTAAATTCTGCAATGAAAAGACATAGACAGGCTGAATGGATAAAACGACAAGATCCGTTGATCTGCAGCCTATAAGAAACACATTTCACTAATAAAGACACATATTGATTGAAACTAAAGAGATGGAAAAAGATATTCTATGTCAATGGAAACCCAAAAAAGCAAGAGTTGCTATACTTAATCAAACAAAACAGATCTCAAGACAAAAAGTATAAGAAGAGACAAATAAGGTCACTAAATAATAATAACAGGGTCAATTCTGCAAGAGGATATCACAAGTGTAAACATATATGCACCAAACATTGGAGTTCCCAGATATACAACACAAATATTATTAGAGCTAATAAGAGAGATAGGCCCCAGTACAATAATAGCTGGAGACTTCAATAAGCCACTTTTAGCATTGGACAGATCTTCTAGACAAAAATTAAGAAAGAAACTTCAGATATAATCTGCACTGCAGACCAAATGGATCTAATACATATATACAGAACCTTTCATCCAATGACTAGAGAACACACATTTGCTTCCTCTGCACATGGATCATTCACAAGGATAGACCATAGGTTAGGTCACAAAATAAGTCTTAAAACATTCAAAAAATTAAAAGAATATCAAGCATCTTTTCTGCCCACAATGAAATAAAGCTAGAAATTAGTAATGAAAGGAATTTTGTAAAGTAGACAAATACATGGAAGATAAATAATATACCACTGAATAATGGGTAGGTCAATAAAGAAATTAAAAAGAAAATTGAAAAATGAAAAAAAATCATGTTCATGGATAGAAGAATTAATATTGTTGAAATGTCTATGTTACCCAAACCAATCTACAAATTCAATGCAATCTCTATCAGAATACCAGAGATAATCTTCACAGAAATAGAAAAATGAATCCTAAAATTTATATGGAAACACAAAAGACCCAGAATAGCCACAGCTATGCTAAACAAGAACAAAACTGGAGGAATCACATTGCCTGACATCCAATTATAATACATAACTATAATAACCAAAACAACATGGTACTGGCATAAAACCAGACACATGGACCAATGGAACAAAATAGAGAACCCAGAAACAAATCCACACACCTACAGTGAATTCATTTTCTGCAAAGTTTCCAAGGATATACACTCGGAAAAAGACAGTCTCTTCAATAAATGGTGTTGGGAAACCTGGATATCCATAGGCAGAAGAATGAAAGTAGACCCTTATCTCTTACCATATATGAAAATCAAATTAAAATAGGCTAAATACTTAAACCTAAGACCTCAAACTATGAAAATTTTACAAGAAAACATCAGGAGAAGTATCCAGGTCATTGATCTGGGCAAAAATTTCTTGAGTATTACCCCAGAAGCACAAGCAATCAAAGCAATAATTGACAAATAGAATCACATCAAGTTAAAAACTTTTGCACAGTAAAGAATACAGTCAACAAAATGAAGAGACAACCCACATAATGGAAGAAAATATTTGCCAACT